>NC_000022.11:50575365-50808468 GCF_000001405.40 Homo sapiens
TAAAGGGGTTCTACCACTAAAAAGCAGTTTAAAACCTCTGCTATGGGCAAGTTGTGTGTAAGTTCCTGGAAGGACAGCTTATGGAGGAGAATTCCAGTAGGCTCTGGCAAGTCAAGTGTGCTTTGGACCGTGGGAAAGGAGAGAAGAGGCATGCCATACAGCCCAGGTGGCTGGGAGACCCAGAGACTCAGAAGGGCCAGTTACATGGGGCAGAGGCAGACTGACTTCCTGAGCTCTAAAAGCAGCAGCCTGGCCTCCATTCTGCTGTCCGGCTCTGCAGAGGGACACAAAGCAAGACACGTTCTAGACAATTCCCTGGTTATGGTGTCAGGACAGCTGGGAACCCATGGCCAGGAGGCCAGTGAGGAAACCAAGGAAAGAGGTGACAGAGCCCGAGCTGGGCAGGGGCAGTGACCCCGGGACTCTGAGAAGCGGTGGCAGGCTGGCGGTCTCCACTCTCCTCATCCTTAGGATCCCCATTGCCCCTAAGCTGCTTCTGGACTCTTCTAGGATCTCCTCTCTCTCTTCCCTTTCCCTCAGGCCTCACTCCATAACCCCCACTTGCCCACGGAAGCTGCTACTAGAGCTCTGGGCTGTCCTCCAGATCCCTTGCCTTGGAGCTGGGACAGAGCTGAGCACGTGCGGGGACCTGGGGGCTCTAGTTCATACCATGACATAATAGTTGCTGTTCACCATGAGAGGGCTCCTGCCTCGAAGGTAGATGTACTCTTCCCACCAGTCACTCACCTGTGGGGAGGTGGAAGGTTAGAGCTGGGGCGGGTGCAGCCAGGACACATGGCAGGTGACAGTGAGCCCAGGGGCAGGAACTTACATAGTTACTTGCCCACCATGACTTGAGCACCAGGTATTTCTGCAGCCTGGGGGCAGTCTTGTCCTGGAATTCTTTGGCCAGCAACTCCATGCGGTAATATTCCTCATCATCCAACAAGGGGCGCACAGACTCTAGGTACTGTCCAGCCAGTTATCATCACCGTGGGGCCAGATGGCAAGGGCTGCCTCTATCTTAATCCTCTTCCCACCTCTCCCTCCTCACCCAGCCCCATTATTCTCAAGCCCTTAAGGCCACTCTTTGCACAGAACCTTATATTTGGAAACATCTCCTGAATCCAACCTCCCCTGCCCACTGGGATGCCCAAGCGAGGCCCTCACCCGCTGAATTGTGGCTGACACCCTGGGCACAGGAAGCTTGGGCAGAGATGTCTGGAAGCTGTAGAGCATAGGGTGCCGGCTGGATAGAAGGCGGATACACATCTGGGGGTACAGAGCAGAGTGCTGGGGTGGGAGCCAGTGGAAAAAATGGAAACCAACCAGCAACTCCCTGAGACCCTCAGAGCCATCCCAGCCCCTCCAGGACAAACCACACACCAGGCACCAGTGCCCTGTCTGCCTCTCCCGTCTAGCTCAGAACCCCAAAGGAGTCCAAAGAGTCTCAACCCAGGTGCCTGAACCCCTCCACTGGCTGCTGCTCACAGCCCAGATCCTGGTCAAGTTGCTGGTCTTGCCATGCATCTCAAACATCCACCCATGGTAGCAGAGAAGCAGCTTCAGGGTTTGGCGGAAGAAGAAGATGCCCGTCACCCAGACGCCCGTGGAGAAGATGGCCATGCTGAGAAGTGCCCGGGTCTGCGGGGTCTGGTAGGGGCCACACCTATTGGAGAGGGGCAAGGGCTGCAGGGGGTCCTCTTGAGGCCAGCCTCGGGTGGCTGTGAACTGTCTCAGGGGAGACACCAAGGGGAAGAACCTCCCTGGGCACACTCATGTCTGACTGCATCAAATGAGCGGATGTAGGGCTAAGACAATGGTTGTCATAGGGGAGGGCTGCCCCGTGACTGCCAATGGCTGCTGTCCTGTATCTGCCCAGCTCAGGAACCTCAGCCTTGGGAGCTGGGCCCAGCCCTCCCTGGTGGCACCTGTGCCCTTCCAGTTTCACTCCTTACCCCTGAGGGAGGCATCTCTGGATGCAACTGACCAGCCCCAAGGAGATGTCCACGTTGCAGAAGGAGGAACCCACTGTTGCCATGATGACGACCAGCCAGCTGGTGGGGCTGCCAGGGTACACGCCCCTGAGGATGCCATTCTGTGGGCAGAAACAGGCGCCCTTATGGAGCCGGAAGGCGGGAGGTTAGCCTGCCTGTGAAGTCTTGGGAACTGGCTCCTGGTCTTGGCCTGGAAGGCTTTCTCTCCTGATGCCCTGCTGTGCTCCTTCCTCCGCCACACCCACAGCTCCCTGTGTCCGACCACATCCTGTGCACCCCTCTGGTGTCTGTACTTCCACAACCTGTACCGGGCAGAAGTGCCAGCCAAGGAGGCAGTGAGGGACCCTAACAAAGCGCTTAACAGCTGACAGCCGGCCTCTGCCTACGCTCTGGGAGAAGCACCTGTGCGCACCTTGATGCGGATCAGGCGTTTCTTCCAGGAGTTGATCCCAGACAGGTAGACGTGTTTCAGGGCCTCCCGACTGAGCCGGAAGTCGACCCCGTCTGGGGTCACCGTGAACTGGAAGGCCACGGCCTGGTGAGCTTCCGCCATCCTGGGGGTTGGTCGGCACCTAGGACGGGGGCAGATGGGTGCGCGGGCGCGCTTAGGCCGGCCCCGCCGCCAGCCGCGCCGAGACGCCCCCAGCCAGTCCGCGACCCCTCGCGCCCCCCACCCCGCGACTAGCGGCTGCCCCCGGCCCGCGCCCCCCGCCAGGCCAACCGCCGCCAAATCCTCGCGCCAGCCTTCCGGGTGGGCACAGCCACTGTGGTGCAGGGGATTTGGGCCTTGAAAGCTCCAGGAGCCCCAAGGACGGCGAAGGGCAGCCTGGAGTTGGGGGGCGTCAGCGAGGGCGCGGGCAGGGGAGAGAGGCGCCCCTGGAAGTGGAGCCGGCCTGGACAGAGGCAGGGTTCGGGAGCCCGCCCTTCCCCACCCGAGCGCGCGGGCCCCAGCGCCGTCCTCGCCCCTGTGCAGGGCTGAGGGCCCAGACCCCCGCGGGCCGCCCTGTGCCGGCCCCTACTCACAGCTCGGGTTCACTCCTGTCCGTGCGTGGGGCCAGCCACTCTGGCCCGTGTCCCCACGTCCTTCAGGCCTAGCCACCCCCGCCCCGCCCTCACCAGGAACCTGACACCTACTCCCAAATCGGGGTCGGGGAAAAACGTGGGGCGAGAACCAGAACCCACCCACCTTCCGCGGTGGGAATTGCAGGGCGCGGCTGGGTTTCTGTGCGGTGAAGGTTGCTCAAAGGTCTGGGAGCCTGGGGGGCCCCAGAGTCTCGTGAGGATGGTGGCTTTAGAGCTAAAAATAGCCAAATGTAGGGAAAAGGTCACCGATGTGTCAGCTGCTGCCTGTTCTGGGATCGCTGGTGCTCCGGGCGGCATCCCCACCTCAGGGTCGTCTTCATACCCCCATCACTCTCCTCCTCCCCAAGTCCTAGTATTTATTATTCTAAGCTGCAGCCAGGGGACTGGGGAGGGATGGGGGACCCCAACTGGCAGCATGAACGCTAACCACTTTCAATCCCAGAGCACTGAAGAGTCCCTTTGTGTGTACTGCTCGGTTTGGTACTTTCTGCTGCTGCTCAGCAGGGCCAGGACAGGGTGGGAAGAAGAAGCTTGTTTATTGTGTTACATACACAGCACGGGGCTCTGGCCTGCCAGCCATGGGGACCTACTCAAACTCAGGAACAGGCCGGTCTCCTGAACCTCAGTTTCACTTGGGGGCTCAGCCCAGTCGCCAGGGCCTTCTGCTCGTTGTTCCTCCCTCCAAGGTCCTGCCCTGGAGGCTCCAGGAGAAATCCAAGGAGTGGGAGGGTGGAGTCAGGATGAGGAGTGGACACTGGTCAGCTGCCCCTTCTGCTGGAAGTAGAACTGGAACCGAGACTGGGCATAGTCCTAGGGAAGGAAACCCACCCCACACAGTGGTGAGAAGACGTGGGACCAGCATTCTACATCCACCTCAGGCTGCCCACAGCCACCCGGGACTCCCCAGGCCTCCTGGAAGAGTGTGGCTGCTGCTGCTCCCCAGCCCCCCAGCTAGCATTCCCATCCCCAGGGTCACTTACCAAGTAACCAAATTCTATGGTGGACATGGATGCCTGGAGGATGGACCACAGACCCCAGAAGAAATGGGATGCCAGAGCATACCTGGGGGGAGGGCAGGAAAAGGAGGGGCATTCAAGAGCATGTCTAGCACTGCTTGGATCCCCTCACCCAGGTTGGCCAATCCCTACAGTTTTAACTTCTCCCCCACTGTCCTAACTCCACTCTCCACAGCCACCTTCCCTGCAGCTTGATAAATCTGCCTCTTCCCCAATCCCTCTTTCCTCTGCTCTGCCCTACCCCACCCTGCCCCTCCTTCCTCACCGACTGACTTCTACCAGCAAATCTTCTTCCAGTTTTCTCTGCTCCTCTTGGGAGAGGGTCTCACCTTTCTTTGCCTCTGCCAGGTAATGACGAATAAAATGCAACTACGATCAATGGCCAAGAGTCAGGAATTGGGGAGACTGTGGAGTATTTCCCAGGTAACATCCTTTCCGGCCATTCCTTCCAGACTCCACCTCCCTCCTTCCTCACAGGATGGGTCCTGCTCCCCAGCCTCTGGCCCACATACCTGCTGTTCTTGAGTGGGGTAGTCTGTGGGCCTTGCTTTGTAGAAAGGCCATTCCTCGTGAGTATAATCATAAACCCACTCACAAAAATGGTTCCCAATGTCAAAG
This sequence comes from Homo sapiens, assembly GCF_000001405.40. Classification (NCBI taxonomy): domain Eukaryota; kingdom Metazoa; phylum Chordata; class Mammalia; order Primates; family Hominidae; genus Homo; species Homo sapiens. The sequence goes on from NC_000022.11 coordinate 50,580,080, forward strand.
CCCCTGGGAGAATAAGGTGGACATTCAGTCCCCAAATGCCCTGGGCAGCTGGCCTGTTTTCAAGAGCCCTATGGGAACAGATCTATGGGAAGCCATCTTTCCAGCCTCACCTATAGTTATAACTGCTGTACTCGAAGTCCACCAGCATGAGGCTGTCAGCATTTTCTGGCTCTGAGAGCAGCAAGATGTTCCCTGGGGGAATGGGGTGAGGTTCTGCTCACTCCAGAGCCCTCTGGCTCTTCCATCTTGGGTTAGGAGACTCAGATGCCTTCTCCTACCTTCCTGGATGTCATTGTGGCAGAAGACGACTGGCGATGGGGTAGACTCTAGTAACTTCCTACAGGGGTATGGGAGCATGGGTCCTGAGCAGGAGTGACTAGAGGAGGATCAGAGCCACCCTAACAGGCCAGGCCCTGACACCAGCCCTCAGCAACTACTGGAAGGGCGGACACCATTACCATTAGCCTTGTCCTGCCTGCCCTCACCTGAGGTTGCCCATCTCATCCTTCAGGCTGTACATCTCCAGCAGGTTCATCTCAGGGAGGCCAGTTGGGGGCAGGTCCTGGATCTGTTTTAGGTACCTGAAGCCCAAAGAATAGGATACACTGGCTCTGCTATTCTTTCCCACCCCTCGCCTATCTACCCCTCAGGCCAGACTACTGCACCCCTGCTCCTATCACTGTGTGACTTGTCCGGCAATCATTTCTTTTTTTCTTTTGAAATGGAGTCTTGCTCTGTCACCCAGGCTGGAGTGCAGTGGCGCGATCTTGGCTCACTGCAACCTCTGCCTCCCGGGTTCAAGCAATTCTCCTGCCTCAGCCTCCCGAGTAGCTGGGACTACAGGTGCATGCTGCCATGCCTGGCTAATTTTTTTGTATTTTAATAGAGACAGGGTTTCACTGTGTTGTCCAGGCTGGTTTTGAACTCCTGAGCTCAGGCAATCTGCTCACCTCAGCCTCCCGAAGTGCTAGGATTACAGGCATGAGCCACCGTGCCTGGCCTTGGCAATCATTTCTTTTTTCTTTTTTTGTTTGGTGTTTTGAGACAGAGTCTTGCTCTCACCCAGGCTGAAGTGCAATGGCATGAGCTCAGCTCACTGCAACCTCCGCCTCCTGGGCTCAAGTGATCCTCCCACCTCACCCACCTCGGCTCCCAAAGTTCTGGGATTACAGGCATGAGGCACTGCATGTGGCCTCTGGCAAGCATTTAAAAGCCTGTTCTGTGACAGCCCATGACATCAGATCCACTCAAGTGGAGGGCTGGATAGAGCCCCCGACACATCCGCTGGCATGGAGGTTCAGCTCAGGAGTACAGGAGCCCTGAGGAGGCTCCTGACTCACCGCTCCATGGTCCCAAACAGCCAGTGGGGCTCCTTGGTGAAAGGCATCTCCATGCCATGAAATTGCGCCATCTTCGTGGCAATGGCTGCTGACAACACTGGCTCTCGAAGCTCTTGAGTTTTCAATGGCCGACTCTGCACCCAGGAAGCTATCAGGGTGGTGATGGGGCTGGGGCAGGAGTGGGAAGGGCTGGGGCAATGAGGGGAAGTCAGGGTTTTGGGGGAAATTCCCTACTTGGGGTGAGGGATGTGGAGGCAGACATTGGGCACTGGGGTAGGGTTAGGGGGTGGAGGTGCCTTGGGGAGGAGAGGGTAGGACTGGGCCCGTACTGGGATGTACTGTTCCAGCCGGCCCTCTGGGAAGACTCCGTACAGCTGGGGCCCCAGCGACCGCTCCGCAAGTATGGCGAACATCACGCTTTCTAGCACCAGGGAGTCCACGCCCTGAAAAAGGATGGACAGCAAAGGGGCCAAGGCAAAGTGGCACAGGGACACACATGAGGGCTCGCCTTCCTCCCACCAGAGCTGCGACTTCTGATCCAATTGCCTGGAGGCTCTGGAGCACAGGCTTTAGCGTTGGTCTATTTTTATTTAGAGATGGGGGTCTCACTATGTTGTCCAGGCTGGTCTCGAACTCCTGTGCTCAAGTGATCCTCTCGCCTCAGCCTCCCAAAGCTCTGGGAATACAGGCCCAGGCTTCGGTGTAATGAGGTGTTACTCAGACCGTGAACCTCGGTGTCCTCAACTGCGCAACGGGAACAATACTACCCGCATCGCGTAAGCGACAGGCCCTAAAGCCACTGGTGCTGCGGCGCTCACACCCCCCTCACCTGCAAGATGGCTCCGTACAGCCGCAGAAGCACCTCCCGGGGCTCCTCGCCAACGCTGGGCAGGTGGTCCGGGAGCGAGCAGCGGAAGAGCAGGTTGCTGAGGCCTCCGCTGCAGACCCACACCAGGCGCGCTCAGCCCGCGGCCGGCCCTACCTGCCGCGGCCCCGGCCCCCTCCCGGCCAGGCCGGCCCCGCCCCGCCCCAGGCGCGGGCGCAAGAGGGGGGCGAAAACATGGAGCATCCTGAGGGCCCCGCGGCTGACCCCTGACCCCGATCCGCGCACCGGAGAGGCTGACCCCTGACCTCCCACCTCACGGGGTAAACCCTCAGCTCCTCGGGCTGCACTCGGCGCCAGGCCCCGCCCAAGTACTCCCGGCACCATTGGTAGGCTCGGCGCTCGGCGTCACGCGACAGCGACGAGGCGCGCCGCCGTTTTGGGGTAGTGTCCGGGCACTTAGACTGCTGCAAGCCGTCTTTGGCCAGGCAGCCGCCAACAGCCCCGCTTCCGGCCACAGCTGTCGCCTCGGCCGCCATGGCGCGGGCTCGACCGGGCCCCAGGCCAGGCTGCGCTCCGCTCCCTTCGGACGGGCTCGGTTCCTTCCGGCCGCGCTCGGCTCCTCTTCCGGCCGGCCTGGGCTTCTCCGGTCATACTCGGGTCTCTCCGGCTCTATTCGGCTCACGGCTGCGGCGCTCGGCTCTCTCCGTGCCCCGGCCCGGGGGCTCTTTCCGAAGGCCGAATTCCGCAGATCTCTGCCGGGCCCCGCCCCTATGGGCAAGGACCAATGGTCTCTCTCTGGGCGGGGCTGCTGTTGGACGGCCTGGGCCAATCCGAGGCGCCGGAGGCCAATCAGTTGGCGGAGCGGCGCGTGCGCGGGCGAGGAACTGCCCGGGCGCGGTAGCGTACGGGAAGACCGGAGAGGAGCTGCGTCTCTGCCCCGTGGGAGCCGGCGGGGCGGCGGGGCGGCGGCTGCAGCTGCAGCTCCGGCGCGAGGGCTCCCTTGCCGGGCCCTCTTCCCCGACCCCTGGGGCGCTCCGACAAGGAAGAGCCGTCCAGCGCGCGTCCGTCCTGAGCGTGGGTGAGGCCTGGAGGAGGCGCGCGCGCTAGGCAGGGCCGCACAGCGCGGGCAGAGTGCGGGATGCGGGCACCCGGTGGGTACGCAGTAAACATTTGCTGAAGGAATGTGACCCTTGGGACAGTTCCGATGACTCCAGTTGCATAAATGCCCAGTCTACACGGGGACTCCCTGGCCGGTAGAGCCGCACCTCTGAATGAGGAGTCTTTTGCTGCCCCGCTTGAGATGCGCGTCTTCATTCATTCCCCTCTCCCCCTATCCTCCTCGTCTCCTCCAGGCCTAGAACCAATTACAGAGTCAAACCCAAGAGCCGAAGAAAGTGAAGACTCGCAGCTTGCCGCAGCCCCCTCCTCGGCCTGCGCACCTCCCATTGAGGGCGTCCTGATTTAAACGCGTGCCTCCTGCATTTCTGCTTCTGCCCCAGGCTAGAGCGGCGACCAGGAACGCTGGACCCACAGAGATCTGTGGCAATGTCTGTCGAACCATGGTGTTCTTTGGGGCATCTGACTAGAGTATTGTTTGATAACCAGAAAGAAATCAAAAATTGGTGATCACAAGGCTAATGTCACTTTTGCTGCAGTGGAAAATCATGATCATTCTGTTTAAATCTGAGTCAGTTTTGAGACCTAGAGCCCATTAATTGACAAGGAGGCTTGGTTCCTCTCAGGAAGGATCTTACAATACCAGCATCTGAGCATATACCAAGAAATATTCCTCCAATCCTTCCCTAAAGGGACCTAGAGCCACTTTAAAAAGTAACTGGTCCGGGCGTGGTGGCTCACGCCTGTACTCCCAGCATTTTGGGAGGCCGAGGCGGGCAGATCACTTGAGGTCAGGAGTTTGAGACCACCCTGGCCAACATAGCGAAACCCCGTCGCTACTAAAAATACAAAAATTAGCCGGGTTTGGTGGCTTGTGCCTGTAATCCCAGCTACACGGGAGGCTGAGGCGTGACAATCCCTTGAACCCAGGCCTTGTTGCCGCGAGCCACTGCACTCCAGCCTGAGCGACAGAGTCAGACTCAGTCTCAAAAAAAAAAAAAAAAAAAAGAAAACTGATTCTGGCTGGGGGCAGTGGGTCACGCTTTTAATCCCTGCACTTTGGGAAGCCGAAGTAGGAGGATCGTTTGAGCCCAGGAGTTTGAGACCAGCCTGGGCAACATAGCAAGAACCTGTCTTTACAAAAATTAAAAGATTAGCTGGGCGTGGTGGCAGGTGCCTGTGGTTCCAGCTACTCTGGATGCTGAGGTGAGAGAATCACTTAAGCCCAGGAGGTCAAGGCTGCAGTGACCTGTGTTCACGCCACTGCACTCCAGCCTGAGCAACACAGCAAGACTGTCTGAACAGCAACAACAAACACACCAAAAAAACTAGTTTACTTCGGAAAAGGGACTGTCTAGGTCTTTGAAGGGCTGATACAGGATCTGAGCTGACACTGTTTCCAGGAGCCCTGAAGCATCATGGCCCTCTCATTAGGGTGCAGGCTTATGGAAATCAGATGATAAGCAGAATTCCCAACCCGAGTCCTGTGGTTACTTCTCTGGTCTCAATGCATACTTGGGATGTTTTTACCTAGCAGAGGGCGGAGCGTATACATTGATCCCAGGCCTTTGGTACCATATGTAAGGAAGCGCAAAGTAGAAACCTTTGAAACTCCTCACCCTACTGAAACCTTTCCAAGATAGTAAGTCAGAAACAATGCTGCATTCCAGGTGTAATTGCAGAGGTATTTCGCCCTCAAAGACTTATAAAGCAGTGGTTACCGTTTCATCCCTTCAATTAACCTGAATGGCTCCTGCTAAATCTTGGTGGATTCAAGTAAATGATGATGCCCTGCACAAACTTAGCCAAGTCGTGTCCCCGATCACACAGCTGTGCTAGGTGTGGTATCTTTACTGGAACCGATAAATGCACCTCTGGCTCTTGATAATGCAATTATTGACTTGGTGAACATTCTTTTCAATTGCCAGTGGTAAAGAGGATTAAAAGCAGTTCACATTTATATGGGAAGGACAGCTCTGTAAATGGTCTTGCTTCTTGCTGTCTGAACTCTCCTGTTCTCTGTCACAATAGTCCTTAGGTAGCTTATCATCTATATTCCATATAACATTGATGATGTCATACTAGTTGGACATGGTGAAGAAGGCCGTGCATGTCAGAGGATGAGCGAGAAGCCCTCAGAAGTTCTGGAGCCTGCCATATCAGTGACATTCTCAGGGGTGCAGCGTTTGAGGGCAAGCCAGGGACAAGTTATTGCATCCTGCATCCTTACAAGGAAGAAAGAGGCACAGCATTGAGGCACCTCTGTGTTTTGGAGTCAGCATGCACCGCGCTAGAGGATACCTCTCTGACCCCTTTATTGGGTAACGGGAAAACTGCCAGCTTTGAGTGGGGCCCAGAGAAAAAGAGGGCTCTGCTAAAGATTTGGATTGGGAGATGGGCTTCCCTGCTGCATAGATCCAATGGGTTACCGGGGGGCTTATTTGGGGTAGGAAGGACCCTATATGGCATCTCTGGCAAACTCCAACGGAAGAGTTGCAGTACACTGTCCTAGAGTTCTTGGACAAGACCATGCCTTCTGCAGCAGAGAACTACTCGCCAAGTGAGAGCAGTATCAGGCACACTACCAGACCCAGGTAGAGACCGAGCACCTGCTGGTGGGACATCAGCGACCATGCGACAGGGTCTGCCCAAGCGAGGTGTTGTCAGATCCTCCAAGTCAGTAGGTCAGAGGCTCAGTAGCAATTGATGGTACAATGAAAAAGGAAGCCTTGGGCTTGGACCCAAGCGTGTCTAGTGGGTAACAGTTATTTACAGGAAGAGGTGGCAGTGTGGCCCCACATCTGCTTTGCACTGATATTTCTCCCTTAGCAGATAAGCATTCTGGTCTGGTTCGTATATAGGTCAGTTTGATGTGTTGATATGAACTGAAAATGAACCATAGGTACACTACAGTCCCATTCAAGGTGACCCTAAAGGACGACAATAGGAAATCCTCCATGGGGCTGAGCTTCCAGCAGTTCGTGTGGATATCCACTTTGTATGGAGGCAGTGGACAGAGTAGTGGCCTGAGGGAGGGACGCATATGGACTTCTGGGTTGTGACGTCCTGCTGGCTGGTCAGGGACCTGAAAAGAGCAAGAGGGGAAGATGGACCTACAGGAGTGGCCACACAATATGTGCATCTCTCTGCCTTGTGTTAATACTGCAGAGGAGTTGGTGAACAGCAGGATGGATGGGATGTCAGTCAGCTGTGCCCCTGGCTACCCCTGTGCTTGAACAGTGGACTGTGAGTGGCGGCGTCATGCAGAAGGAGCACAGGTTAGCGTCCACCAGCACAGGCCTTCTTTCTCAAGGCTTGTCTCATGATTACTCCTGCTGAAAGCGATCAGTGCTGAGCCCCTGCTGAGATACCATCCCTAGAGCACCCCAACTAGTTACTTAGTGGCAAGTTGGTGACAGCCCTTCATCCTTGCTGGAGTTGACACCTGCTCTGGATAAGGGTTTGTCTTCTGTATCCACAGGGTCCCAGGCCAGCATCACTATCCAGGAGCTTCAGGCATGCTCCGTGTACCAACATGGGATCACGAATCACATCGCCTCAGGCCAAGAAAGCCATTTTATAGCGAAAGAGGTATGGTAGTGTGTGGATGACCATGGGATCCACTGCTTCTCTAATATCCTGCGTTACGTAAAAGCAGCTAGGCTACTGGAAAGATGGGATGACTTCTTAAGGGCTTAGCTGAGGTCCTGGTTCTAGGACAGTATCCTGAGGAGTTGGGATATATACACTGAATCAGAGTCTAATATATGGTGCTCTGCCCCCAGTAGATACTTCATGTGGATCCAAGCAGAAAGACACAGGTCCAGGAACCCAAGGGTTGGGATTAGCTACTTCTCACCATCATTCCCAGTGCTTACACGTAGAATTTGTACATTCTGTCTCCACAGCCTTAGGATCTGCTGGATTAGAGCCTGTTTCCCAGGTAGGAACGCTTCCACGAGGGCACTCCTGCTGGTTGCAGGAAGGATACCTCTGCTGAGCCTGAATCTGCAAAGACCACCAGGTTACTCTCAGCTCCTCATACTGGTGGACCAGCAGGCCACAAAGGAGGGGATACTTGATCCTGATAAACGGTGAGGAGGTAGCGTGGCTGCTGCGTAACGGGGCAAGCAGGCATTGATCTGGCACTTAGAGGATTCATCTAGGTCTGTCTTGGTGCTTCCATGCCAAGTAATGACAATGAAAAGGTCTTTTCAGCAGCCATAGCCCCTAAGGGCTCAGATGCCTCAGGGTGAAGGTCTGGGCAGCGTCACCAGGCAAGCCATGGAGACAAGCTGGAATGCTGGTGAGGGTGAGGCCAAGGAGGAGGTGGCTGCTGAATATCTGTTACTTGGGAGAAGCTGTGGCAGTGGGGATTGTATTTGTTCTGCTAAGCCTCTTGTATTAAGGCTTTCATAGGAGTTGTAACTAGCCTTTACTTTGAAGAATCGTGACAGAGTAGACTCAATATTGTAGCTGACTAGATCTGAGAGGGGCAGGAGATGGTGTCTTGGCTGATGCCCTCAGCCCACCTTTAACTGCAGTGGACACAGAGCTGCATCTCTGCTGTGTGTCTTTGCACTTCCTGCTCCAGGCCTTCTCTGACACCATGGCGGCCCCCTGAGCCTGTGCCGAGATTGTGCCACTGCACTCCAGCCTGAGCAACAGAGCTAAACTCCATCTCAAAAAAAAAAAAAAAAAAAAAAAAAAAAGGCGAGGGGAATACATACAGGAATGGACTGTGAGGATACAAAGCCAAGAATGAATTGTAGGTTAGTGCAAATTTATCAACATGAGTGCACTTCAAAGAGAATCTTTGATTCCGTATTTTGGCTCAAGGCCTGGGAGTAGTTATGACCGTGCCTGGGTGGCTGAATGAAGCCTGGACTCCTTGGTGGTTTACATTGATGGGAAGATGAGAATGTGGAGTGGATTTGTGATGTATGTGACATGACCTGGCTGCCACTCTCCTCTCTCTATCCCTTCATTAGACCATTGTGTAATTTAAAAAAATAGGTTATAAATTTCTTTTCAAGATAGTAAAGGGGTACGATCAACAACCCATGGAACGGGAGAAAGTATTTGCAAATCATGTATCTGATAAGGAGTTAATATCCAAAATGTATAAGGAACTTACAAAACTCAATAGCAAAACACCAAATAACCCAATTTAAAATGTGTAAAGGACCTGAATAGACATTTCTCCAAAGAAGACATGCAAATGACCAACAGGTATATGAAAGGGGCCCAACATCACTAATCAGGGAGATGCAAACACCACAACGAGATATGACAACAACGCGATCCACCTCACACCTCTTAGTTTGGCTACTATATAAAAAAAAAAAACAAAGGCAAGAGATAACAAATATTGGCGAGGATGTGGAGAAAAGAGAACCCTTGTATACTGTTGGTGAAAAGGTAGATTGGTACAACCATTATGGAATACAGTAAAAAATTAAAACAGAACTACCATGCAATCCAGCAATCCCACTTCTGGATGTATATCCAGAGGAAATGAAATCAATATCTTGGAGGATATCAGTACCAGCTTATTCATTGCAGCATTATTCACAATAGCCAAGTTAGGAAGCAACCTGAGTGTGCGTCGGCAGGTGAATGGATAAAGGCCAGGTGTAGGTGCTGGCTAGGGATTCTAAAATTATGGGAAAACTGGAAAATTGATATTAGGGCACCATCTGCCCCTTTGGCCATGCCCTCTCTACTTCCTGTATACAAAACTCACTCACCTTATCCTTAAGGGAGACCACTGTAAAAGTTCTAACTAGTTGCAGCATCCAGCTCAAAATTTAGGTTCTCTGACTTATATGCAATTTGCTCCTTCAGGTCCAGAGGTAGATCCTTGTGGTCCAGTGACTTATAAAAGGTTTGTCATTCATCCTCCAACAAACTCAGTGTACACTAGTTTAATCCAATGTCGTATAAACTAAAACATATTTTATGTGTCCCAAACATACAAAGAAAGATTAAGGGCCGGGCGCAGTGGCTCATGCCTATAATCCCTGCACTTTGGGAGGCTGAGGTGGGCGGATCACCTGAGGTTGGGAGTTAGACACCAGCCTGGCCCACATGGAGAAACCTCGTCTCTACTAAAAATACAAAATTAGCCAGCGTGGTGGCGCATGCCTGTAATCCCAGCTACTCGGGAGGCTGAGGCAGGAGAATCGCTTGAACCCAGCGGGCGGAGGTTTCAGTGAGCTGAGATCGCGCCATTGCACTCCAGCCTGGGCAAAAAGAGTGAAACTCCGTCTCAAACAAAACAAAACAAAACAAAAGAGTAAGAATTGGGTAAATACTACAAAGACCCCATATTTAGACCCGATCTCTAGTCTGTGGCACTTGCCAAATCCTATTGAGCATAAATAGTGAAGTCCCCTTTCCTGGCAGCGCCGGCTCAGTTTTCTGGAATGTTTCTCCTTGTCTGTTAGACTTCGTGTCCACATCTAGGAGGACACTGGAGAGGAACCTTCTTGGAGGCTGCGTAGTTTCTTCTATGGGATCAAATGCCTCCTGGCTTTTGTAGGGATTACTTTAGGAGCTGAATTGTCAGAGGGTTTGACAAACTAGATTGTAGTTTCTTTGGTGATACGATTTCTCCACATTTTCAGTAGTGACATTCTAGCTTCATAACATGAGTTGGGAAGGTTTCTGCCTCCTGTTTCCTGAAATGTTTATGTAGGATTAGTATTATTTCTTCCTTAAATGTTTGCTAGAATTCACCAGTAAGGCAATCTGGATCTGGAGTTTTCTTTGTGGAAAGGTTTTTAATTGGTAATTCAATGTCTTTAGTAATTATGAGGCCATTCAGATTTTTCTTTTTCTTTTTGTTCCAGCTTTGGTAATTTGTGTCTTTCAAGAAATTTGTTCATTTAATTTACATTTTCAAGTTTATTGGCATAAAGTTGTTCATAGTTTTATAATTCTTTTAATATCTGCTGAATCTATAATGATATTTTTGCTTTCATTCCTGATAAGGTTATTTATGTCTTCTTTTTTCTTGGTTAGTCTAGCTAGAGGTTTATCAATCTTACTGAGTTTTTTAAAGAACCAGCTTTTGGTTTCATTGATTACCCTCAACTGTGTATATATTTTTTATTCCATTGATTCTGATCTTTCCTTCTAATTCACTTTTCCCTTTCTTTCTTTTCTTTCTTTTCCTTCTTTCTTTCTTTCTTTCTTTTCCTTCTTTCTTTCTTTCTTTCTTTTCCTTCTTTCTTTCTTTCTTTCTTTCTTTCTTTCTTTCTTTCTTTCTTTCTTTTCCTTCTTTCTTTCTTTCTTTGTCCCTCCCTCTTCCTCTTCCTCTTCCTCTCTCTCTTTTTCTTTCTTTTCTTTCTTTCTGACAGAGTCTCACTCTGTTGCCCAGGCTGGAGTCCAGTGACACTATCACAGCTTACTGCAGCCTTGACCTCCTGGGCTCAAGCGATCCTTCAGCCTCCTGAGTAGCTGGGACTACAGGTGTGTGCCACCACCTGGCTAGCGTGTGTGTTTGTGTGTGTGTGTGTAGATGGGGTCCCACTGTGTTGCCCTGGCTGGTCTCGAACTCTTGGGCTCATGCTATCCTCCCACCCTGGCTTCCCTGCTGGGATTACAGGCATGAGCCACCACACCTGGCTCCTTTATTTTTCTTTCTTTCCAGTCTATTACTTTTAGCCTATCTTGGTGTTTATATTTAACATTTCATTTCTTGAGGTAGCTTATAGTTTGTGTCTCACTTTTTAAATACATTCTGATAATCTCTGCCTTTCAATCTGAGTTTAGATCATTTCTATTTAATGTAATCATTGATATTATTGGGTTTAAATCTACCATCTTGCTATTTATTTGTCCCATCTTACCTTTGTTCCATTTCCACTTCTTTTCTGCTTTCTGATGGATTGATCAAGTATGTTTTCGTATTCTGTTTTATTACCACTCTTAGCTTATTAATTGTGTCTTGTTGTAGTTTTTAAAATGTTTTCTCTAGGATTTATAATATACATTTTTAACTTGTCATAGTCTACCCTCACATGATGTTATGGCATCTACATATAATGTAAGAGCCTCCTTACAGCAGTATGTTTTCATTTCTCCTCCCATCCTCTGTATTGGTGTTGTTATGTTTTACATCTGCATATGTCTTAAGGCTGGGCATGGTGGCTCATGCCTATAATCCCAGCACTTTGGGAAGCCAAGGCTGAAGAATTCTTGAGCCCAGGCATTCAAGACCAGCCTAGGCAAATAGTGAGACCCTGTCTCTACAAAAAAATAAAAAATTAGCCAGAAACGGTGGTATGCACCTGTAGTCCCAGGTGCTTGGGAGGTGAGAGAATCACGTGAGCATGGGAGGTTGAGGCTACAGTGAGCCGTGATCATGCCGCTGCACTCCAGCCTGTGCAACACAGTGAGACCCTGTCTCTAAAGAAAAGAAAAAGAAAGAAAATGTGTGCAAAACCCACAAAACTATAAAGAATAGTCAAGCAGTTTGAAAAGAACCAAATGGAAGTTCTAAAAGGAAAGTTTTAATTTAGTTCAAATTTTAGTTGAATTTTAATTTCAACTAAATTAAAAACTTAGTATGCATGTTTAACAGAAGATTATAAATAACCAAAGCGAGACTTCATGAGCTAAAAGATAAATATGAATACAGTATACAGAATGCTGCCTGGAAAGACATAGATTTGGAAAACCTGGAAAAAGGGTTAAGAGACATAAAGGCTAGAATAGGAAAATCCAACATGAGCCTAATTAGAGTGCCAGAAGGAGAAGAGATGGAATGGAGCAGAGGAAATATTTGAAGAGATAATGGCTATGAAATTTCTAAACTAATGAAAGTCACATAATTGAGAAATTCATATAAATTTATATAATTGAGAACCTCATGCAGAAAAAAATACAAAATAAACCCACACCTAGATAGACCACATTGAAACTTCAGAACACCAAAGACAAAAGCGTCCTAAATGCAGCTGGAGATGCATGGAAAATGACCTTCAAGGGAGTGACTGAGAGATGATGTTTTCTAGCGACAAGGAAAGCCAGAGGAGGACAATGGACGAGACCTTCGAGGTGATAATGGAAACTAATGACCCAGAATTCTGTATCCTGTAAAAATATCTTTCAGGAACCAGGACAAAATGAAGACATTTTCGGACAAACTGAGTTTACTACGGAAGATTCTCATTAAAGAAACATTTAAAAGGTGTAAGGAATTGGTATCACAGGGTGATCTGACAAGGAAGAAGGAATGAAGGATATAGAAAGAGGTAACATTTGGGTAAATCTAGTAAACATCAATGGCTTAAAGCAACAATAACAATTCCTATGGGTCTTGAAAAGAAAAATAATAGCCAGGCACAGTGGCTCACACCTATAATCCCAGTGCTTTGGGAGGCTGAGGCAGGAGGATTGCTTGAGCCCGGGAGGTCGAGGCTGCAGTGAGCCAAGATCATGCCACTGCACTCCAGCCTGCGTGACAGTGAGACTCTGTCTAAAAAACCAGAAAAAAAAAAAAGGAAAAATAAAGAATATTAAAATGCATAATAATAAAATTTAAGTTGGGACTGGAGTAAACAGAGTTAAATACTTCTCGGGTCCTTGTATTGTTCAGGAAAAGGGTAAAACTATTGATTAACTTTACGATTTGATAATTTAAGTGTGAGTGTCACAATTAGCAGGATGCCTTAGATTGGATTCCTTCAGAAGAAGTAGCTAAAACGAGGATTCACATGCAAGGAGTTTGTTTGAAGCTGCAGGAAATAAGGTGGGTGGGTGAGAAAGTGAGGCAGGGGAGGGAAGAAGTGCCATCCTGCCAGCTGCCCGGTCTCTTATCCTGCGGCCCGTGTAGCAAGATTGTACTTAGAACTTAGCTATTAGATCCAGAGGATGAAGACAGCTTTTGAGGCTGCACATGGTGGCTCACGCCTGTAATCCCAGCACATTGGGAGGCCGAAGCGGGTGGATCACTTGAGCCCAGGAGTTGGAGACCAGCCTGGAAAACATGGTGAAACCTTGTCTCTACAAAAAAAAAAAAAAAAAAAAAAAAAACCAAAAATTAGCCAGGCATGGTGGCGGGTGCCTGTAGTCCTAGCTACTTGGGAGACTGAGGTGAGAGGTTTGCTTGAGCTTAGGAGGCGGAGGTTGCAGTGAGCCAAGATCACATCCCTGCACTTCAGCCTGGGTGACAGAGTGAGACCCTATCTCAAAAAAAAAAAAAAAAAAAAAAAAGACAGTTTTTGTTAATCAAATTAGGTAATTATGCTGGGAGTTCCAAGATGACAAGTTTGTGGGTGTAAGAGGCCTGATAGCCGGCCGGGCGCGGTGGCTCACTCCTGTAATCCCAGCACTTTGGGAGGCCGAGGTGGGCGGATCACAAGGTCAGGAGATCGAGACCATCCTGGCTAACACGGTGAAACCCCATCTCTACTAAAAAATACAAAAAATTAGCCAGGCGCGGTGGCGGGCGCCTGTAGTCCCAGCTACTTGGAAGGACGAGGCAGGAGAATGGTGTGAACCCGGGAGGCGGAGCTTGCAGTGAGCCGAGATCGCGCCACTGCACTCCGGTCTGGGCAACAGAGCGAGACTCCGTCCCCCCGCCAAAAAAGGCTTGGTAAATCTCTGTTCAGGGTCTCCAGCAACCTATCAGGGAGTCTCCCTGTCAGGCAGAGCCCTGTCATCACCAACTTTAGTGCATCTTTGGGAGGAACTGGGGAAATCTGGGAAGCGCTCACCAGACATTCTGCAGCTTGATAGCTCCTGGCATGCTTTGCTGGGCCTGTTCCCTTTGTGCTCATCGCAGTAAATGGAAAACTCTCCAAAATTTGTATGTCAGAGAGAGATTTGTCGAGGCTGCAGTGCTGTCCTCCTTGGGGCTATGACTCTGCTGCAGTGCAAAGACTTTCATGAAAGTGTATAATCCTGTTGTTTTTTCAGTTATTATAAAAGTGTCTTTGGGCATGTACGTTCTATGAAGGAGTCTAGTGAGACATTCAGATTTCAGAGATTTAAAAAATTTCCTGGCAAGGCGTGGTGGCTCATGCTTGTAATCTCAGCACTCTGGGAGGCCGAGGCAGGCGGATCACTTGAGTTCAGGAGTTCGAGACCAGCCTGGCCAACATGGTGAGACCCCATCTCTACTAAAATACAAAAATGAGTTGGGTGTGGTGGTACACACCTGTAGTCCCAGCTACTTGGAAGGCTGAAGCAGGGAGAATGGCTTAAGCCTGGGAGGTGGTTGTTGCAGTGAACTATGATTGCACCACTGCACTCCAGCCTGGACGACAGAGCAAAATCGTGTCTCAAAAAAAAAAAAAAAATTCCTGATAGTAGCAATCTATTTAAAAACTTCAACTGATGCATGTTATAATCATCTTCTGCACTGATAGAAATCTGTTTTCTGAAAGGTATAATTATGTGTGAGATTTCTTTCTTAAACCAGAAGGATTTTTTTTTTTTTTTGAGACAGAGTCTTGCTCTGTCGCCCAGGCTGGAGTGCAGTGGCGTGATCTCGGCTCACTGCAAGCTCCGCCTCCCAGATTCATGCCATTCTCCTGCCTCAGCCTCCCGAGTAGCTGGGACTACAGGCGCCTGCCGCCACGCCTGGCTAATTTTTTGTATTTTTAGTAGAGATGGGGTTTCACCGTGTTAGCCATTGTGCTTGATCTCCTGACCTTGTGATCCGCCTGCCTCGGCCTCCCAAAGTGCTGGGATTACAGGGGTGAGCCACCGTGCCCGGCCTACTGTCACTTTCATTAAGGCATAACAATGTTGTAAATGCCATGATTTTGGATGTCCTGTACCATCAGGTGAGAATTACCATTTTCTTTAACATAGGTTATGCTTGTTTGCTGATGGAAATGATCCAGAAGAGAAGGACAAGTTGACGATTGAGAGGGTTAATGTCAGGTAAGAAACTTGAGTGGACATTGAGGAAAGAGCGAGGTTCAGTGGACTGGAGGTTTGTGGTGGTTTCATGACACGTGGACTGGAGATTTGCAGTGGTTTTATGACACATGGACTGGAGGTTTGTGGTGGTTTCATGACACATGGACTGCAGATTTGCAGTGGTTTTATGACACAGCTCCTAAGTTCTTTGACACTCTTCCCATGGAGGGGTAGGGTCTGTGACCCCCCTCTTGAAGCTGGGTAGGCTTGCAACTGCTTTGGCCAATAGTCACAGCAGCAGTGATGCTGTAGGACTTACAAGGTTAGACCAGAAAAGGGCATGCCCTCCAAGGATCCTTACTCTGATGGGAACCAGCCATCATGTAGAAACTCTACCCTTGGCTGGGTGCGGTGGCTCACGCCTGTAGTCCTAGCATTTTGGGAGGCCGAGGTGGGCGGATCACCTGAGGTCAGGAGTTCCAGACCAGCCTGGCCAACATGGCGAAGACCCGCCTCTACTAAAAATACAAAAAAAAAATGAGCTGGGCGTGCTGGCAGGCACCTATAATCCCAGCTACTCGGGAGGCTGAGGTAGGAGAATCACTTGAACCCAGGAGGTGGAGGTTGCAGT
This sequence comes from Homo sapiens, assembly GCF_000001405.40. NCBI lineage: Eukaryota > Metazoa > Chordata > Mammalia > Primates > Hominidae > Homo > Homo sapiens. The sequence goes on from NC_000022.11 coordinate 50,595,873, forward strand.
GAGCCAAGATCACACCACTGCACTCCAACCTGGGTGACAGAGCGAGACTCTTGTCTCCAAAAAAAAAAAGAAAAGAAAAGAAACTACCCTGAGACCACGATGCAGGAGAGCCCAGTGGATATGCTGGTGACAGCCGCAGCAGAGCCCCCAGCTCACACTCAGCATCCACTGCCAACCTTCTGAATGAACCATCTCAGACCTCGAGCCAGGCTTACCTCCAACTGCAACCAAACCTCAAAAGAGACCCAGGCAAGAACTTCCCATTGGAGTCCTTCCTGAATTTCCACCCTCAAAACAAACAATTGTAAATAACAACTTAATTGTTTTAATCCACTAAATTTGAGGATAATTTGTTACACAGTAATAGTAATTGAAGCACATTTCTTATGGAGTTAAAAAAAAAAAAAAAGGCTTGACACAGTGGCTCACGCCTGTAATCCCAGCACTTTGGGAGGCTGAGGTGAGTGGATTGCTTGAGCTCAGGAGTTTGAGACCAGGCTGAGCAACATGATGAAACCCTGTCTCTACAAAAAATAAAAACATTAGCCAGGTGTGGTGGCACACATCTATAGTCCAACTACTCTGAGGAATGAAGTGGGAGAATTGCTTGAACCTAGGAGGCAGAGGTTACAGTGAGCTGAGATTGCACCACTACATTCCTGCCTGGGTGACAGAGCAAGACCCTGTCTCAAAAAAAAAAAAAAGTGGGTATTGTAGTAATGCAGCAAGAGACCAAGAAAAGTAGGAGGTAGTGATCAGAGACCTGGCTGCATAAAAATGAAGATTCGGGAAATGGTGGCGTTAGGACTTCACCATGGTGAAGGTAGAACTCTTAATTTTCATCTTTATTAAATGTGTCTGTTTGCAGTTTTAACCATTGGCATATTTATTTTGTGTTTGTGATTTCTGTGAAATATGAGTACAATAAATACTGATAGTTTGCATTTGTTTTCTAATCTCTCAGAAAGTTGTCAGAAAATGTTCTCTGACTTTTTAGAATTGCTGTGGTCAGGACTGTGGAAGCTGTTGCGATTCCAACTCTCCCTTCTAAGTCCAATCAATTTTGTGCTTTGTAATGTCTATGCCATTCGTGCACCATAGAGGGAAGAAAGCGTTAAAATGGTCGCGTCACAACATCTTGATTTGTCATTGAAGGAGAAGGAGTCTGGAAGGACGCTGACAACGGGTGGTGGTCAGGAAGGAAAACCCAGTGCCTGTGGCCCAGAGGCTGGAGGAGGAACTTCAAGGAGGGATGTTCAGCTCCCTGTGGACCCCCATTTGTTCATCCATACAATGATGCTCTGAGGAGCACACAAGGAAGGTGCAAATTTGATAAAATGTGCATGATGTAAGGAGCATAAACCCCCTCAGGAAAGAGTTGCTGCCTTTTCACTAATGTATCCCTGAGCTGCACAGAGCAGCCCTGGGGGACTGGGAGGACATGTCCCCGGTGTGAGGAGCAGGGGAAAGGTGAGCCTTAAATGATCACCAACAAACAACAGGGCCTGTGTCTGGGGCTTACACCACGACATGTGGTCCTCGCAGCACCATTGCTCAGAGGAAGAAACCAAGATCTCGAGGAACTGAGTAATTTGCCCACGTTCAACAAGTTGGTGCAAAATGAAGAGTGGCTCCCGTATTTCAGACTTTAAGGCCGACGATCTTCCATCTGTGCTCTGGGGGCAAGATGGGAGGTCCACAGATAAAATTGCGGGCGGTATCCCCCATCTCATGGTCTTTACGCTCATGGGACCTGGGAGTGACCATCTTTTAAGAGGGAGGGAAGGAAGGGGAGAGGCTTGAGGAAGGTTTTGGGGATTAGGATCTAAGATGAAATTTGAGACTATAAGACTTCAGATTGGATGCTGTGGCTCATGCCTGTCATCTCAGCACTCTGGGAGGCCATCACCTGGGCTTGGGCCCAGGAGTTTAAGACCAACCTGGGTAACATAGTGAGACCCTGTTTTTACAAAAACAAACAAAATGCCAGGTATGGTAGTGTGCACCTGTGGTCCTAGCTACTCAGAAGGCTGAGGCAGGGGGATTCCTTGAGCCCAGGAGTTTGAGGCTACAGTGAGCTAGGGACACACCACTGCACTCCAGCCTGGGTGACAGAGTGAGACCCTGTCTCAAAAAAAAAAAAAAAAAAAAAGATTTTAAGCTTGCTGCAATTCCAGATGAAGGTAGATCCTGGAGGCACTTTGTGGGAGAGGTCACTACACTTGAGTATTAAAGACTGTTGACAGATCAGAAATCAAGGAACTGACTGACCAGGGTATTGGATGGGTCATTTATGTGGATGTCCAGATGAACCAGTTTGGTGAAAAGACTCAGGATCAAAAGCCAATCTGGAAAGTTGAGGTCAAACTCTCTGTGAAATCTGGGAAGGGATCTGGATTTTTTGGGAAAGGCAGGGAGTGGTTAATAGGCCCAGACTCCCTCAGAAATGGGGAATGTTCTTAGTGCTTCTAAAAGGGAAAAGACTGTTATGGCAAAGACCTGATGCCCCAGACTGGGTTAGAGACCATAAGCTCTCTCATTCATTCATTCACATGTCTGCTAAGCACCTACTGTTTGCCAGGCACCATGCTTGGAGCCTAGGGCTTCACAGAGAGATGACAGCCTCTCTTCTCTCCAGCCAACCCAAGTCAAGAAGGCAAGCATAAACTAGTAAATGGCTTTTTTTTTTTTTTTGAGATGGGATCTCACTCTGCCCCCCAGGTTGGATGCAGTGGTGTGATCTCAGCTCACTGCAACCTTTGCCTCCTGGGCTCGGCCAATTTTTTTTATTTTTGGTAGAGACATGTTTCCAGGCTGGTTTCAAACTCTTGAGCTCAAGTGACGCACCCACCTTGGCCTCCCAAAGTACTGGGATTACAGGTGTAAGTCACTGTGCCCAGCCAAGTAAATGCCATTCTTAGAAAAATACTGTAATTGGCATAAAATATAAATTGTGATGGGACACCAAAGAGTGCAGGTTCAATCAGGCCCTGGCCACAGGCCTCTCTCTGAGCTGGAATGGTGATACCCCCCTTCCCGACTTGCATGAGCTCCTTCTGCCATGTCGTTTCTGGTGTTTGTCACTCAAGTGCCTTGTCCTTTCCTAAGGAATAATTTTCCAGGCCAGGGGCGGTGGCTCACGCCTGTAATCCCAGCACTTTGGGAGGCCAAGGAGGGCAGATCACCTGAGGTCAGGAGTTTGGGACCAGCCTGGCCAACATGGCAAAAACCCATCTCTACTAAAAACACAAAAATTAGCCGGACATGGTGGTGATTGCCTGTAATCCCAGCTACTCGGGAGGCTGAGGCACGAGAATCGGTTGAACCCGGGAGGTGGAGGTTACAGTGAGCTGAGATCGTGCCACTACACTCCAGCCTGGGCAACAGAGCAAGTTCTGTCTCAAAAAAAAAAAAAAAAAAAAAAAAAAAAAAAAAAAAAAGAATTTTCCGCAGAACTAAGACATAAAGAAATCTTAGGGCACATAACTTTCATCAAGGGGGAAAAGGGATTGCGCTTTTGTTGAAATGCCAGCCTCCTTCTTTAGCCAATATTTAGCCAGGTGCTGTGGTTCACACCTGTAATCCCAGCACTTTGGGAGGCTGAGGCCAGAGGATAGCTGAGCCCAGGAGTTTGAGACCAACCTGGGCAATACAGAGAGAGCCGGTCTCTCTCTCTCTCTTTTTTTTTTTTTGAGACGGAGTCTTGCTCTTGCCAGGCTGGAGTGCAGTGGCGCAATCTCGTCTCACTGCAACCTCCGCTTCCCGGGTTCAAATGATTCTCCTGGCTCAGCCTCCCAAGTCGCCGGGACTACAGGCGCCCGCCACCACGCCCGGCTAATTTTTTTGTATTTTTAGTAAAGACGGGGTTTCACCATGTTGGCCAGGATGGTCTCTGGTCTCGATCTCTTGACGTCGTGATCCACCCGCCTTGGCCTCTCAAAGTGGTGGGATTGCAGGCGTGAGCCACCGCGCCCAGCCACCGGTCTCTATTTTAGAAAGAAAAAAAGTGTCCTGCAGTCTCTCCCTAGTTCTGCGCCCTCAACCCTGATCTCCCGCCTCCTCCCACAGCCACCGTCTCGAGCTCAGCTTCAACCATGGCCCTCCCCACAGGGCTCCATCCCAAGCCAGAGCGGGTCAGTTCCCTACACAGGGCCCAGCAACACGGTGCCCAAGAAAAAGTGTTTCCAGTGGGACGCATGTCGCCTCCGTGGGTGCTAACTTCTCCCAGTGCCCGTCGGTACGTCCGTCCGGCTGTGCAGTCTCTACTGAGTGCTCAAAGTCCACTTTTAGCCCCAGCCAGCATCCTCTGAGTACCTTGTGCTCGATTCTGAATCCAGCCCTGCTCGGCGACCCTCGTGCAGACGTCCCCGTGCAGCCCCGGTCAGCACCCCGTGGGGACAGCTCCGATCAGCACCCGACGGCGGACAGCTCCTCCCGCGCCTCCCGCCTCGCCCGCCACCCCGCTCCGGGCCGCACCCGGGTTAGGGTTCCTGGGGGGATCCTGGGCGCGGCGGCGCAGCTCCCGGGGCCGCCCCGGCCTCTCGCCCAGAGGAAACAGCCCACGGCGAACCCGAGGCCCGCGGACCCCGGCGCTGCCTCCTCGGCCTCCCGCCCCGCGCGGGTCCTCCAGGGCGGGGCCCGACGCCCACCCGCCCGCCCCTTCCCTCCCGCCCCTCCCCGGGAAAAATCCTCATCGCACGCCCGGCCCTTCCCCAACCAGCGCCCGGCAGTGAAGCCGCCGCCTCTCCTCCAACCAGCGTCCCCGGCCGCGTCCCTCCCCCGCCTCCCCCGCCGCCCTCCCCGCGCCGCCGCGGAGTCCGGGCGAGGTGCGCGGGGCGGACGCCGCAGGGCGTGTCACGAGGTGAGCGGGGCGGGCCGAGCGCCGGCGCGGGGCGCGGCGAGGCTCCCGCACCCCCCGCCGCAGTCGCGGGCCTCTCCCGGAGAAGATGGCGGATCGCGCGGAGATGTTTTCTCTCTCCACCTTCCACTCGCTGTCGCCGCCGGGCTGCAGGTACCCCCCTCGGCGCCCGGGCCGGGCGGACCCTCCGCTCCCTGCGCACCCCCCCGACCCCGACCCGGCCCGGACCCCCGTCCCCGCCGCCCCAGCCCCGCCGCCGGCGCGGACCCGGCCCCGGCCCCCTGCGGTCCCTGAGCCTCGGCTCGGGCGCCCCACCCCCACCCCGCTCCCACTCCCTCCATCTTCACCGCGCGTCCCCAGCCTCAGTGACCCCCGGGCCCCGCCGGGATTCTGAGCCGCGCCCGGCCTGGACGGCTGACCTGTCAAGGGTGGAGGCCCTGGGCCGACCCTCTGCGGGGGAGGATGCGGGCGGGATGCGGGCACACCCTCCCGGCGCGGCGTGTCCCGGTGGCCTTGGCCTCTTTCAGTGGACGCCAGACCTGGCCGATAGGGCCCGGCCGGGAGAGAGTGGAAATCAAGCCCGGAGCCCTGCGGGAAGGGACTGGGGTTGGGAGGACGCTGGGCCTCTGGGTTTAGGCCTCACTCCGCCGGAGAGGGGGAGACAAACAGGCCAGACTCTCTTCCCAGAGCAGGAGCGACCCCTCCCCATCTGCCGCTGCCGCGTTGCAGCTCCCCCTCCCCTGCTCTGCAAGACCCTGACCCCAGGGGCCTGGAGCTGCGAGTGGAGGGAGGAGAGGCTGCTGGCTCTCCAGGGAGGCGGGGTGGGAGGGGTGGGGGCAGGGTTGGCTCCTCCGGGCAGGCCTGGCTCAGATGGGGGAGGGGATCCACAGGCGAGCAGAGCTTGGGGGTCAAGATGATGGCAGGATGTGTTCCGAGAGCTGGGGGCTGTGGAAACCACTGGGTGTAGGAGCTGACGCCTCCCTCTGCCCCTCCTCAGGGCCAGTTGCCAGGCAGGGAGTCCAGGGTTGGTGGCTCTCTGACCCTGGTCTCCTTTCCAGGCCTCCCCAGGACATAAGCCTGGAAGAATTTGACGACGAAGATCTGTCTGAGATCACTGATGACTGTGGCCTGGGCCTCAGCTACGACTCAGACCACTGTGAGAAGGTGGGAGAAGAGTTGGGGACACAGATCCAGCTCAAGGGAGGGCCTCATTAGGTTCTTCTTAGCGTTCACTTGGGGTTTTAGGGTGGGTGTGAGCTCAGCCTTGAACCGGGGACTCCTCTGATGGCTCCTCCCCACTTAACCCTTGAGGTTTCCTTGGTATCAACTCTCTCTTATTCCAACACATTGCAGGCCTCCACGCAGGGCCTTCCCCAGCATTCTCCCCGACCCCATCGGTGGCCAGCCCGGGGCAGGGAGGTGCTCCTTTGCTTTGGGTGCCCTCTGTCCTCAGATCACTCCCAGAAAGATCTAATCCCTGGCAGCTGCCATCACAACCTTGTCCCCTCTGCAGCCCTGTGCCCTCGTCTGCAGCTCCCATCTGTCTGTTTCATGTCTCCCCCTGCTGAAATCTTTTCTCGTCCATCTCTTGCTTCTCCTCCTCCCTGTCTCTCCACATTTCTGCTTTCATTTATTGAAGAACATTTCTGAGCAACTGCCATGTGGCAAGTACTGGGGGCTTCTGGGTGCTGGGAGTGGAACAGGACAGCTGCTCTCTGGAGCTGCAACTTAGTAGGGGAGAAAGACTTGTAAGGGACAATGGCTGCCCACGTGTCAAGGGCTGCATTCCAACAGGGACATAAGTTCCACGAGGGGGAAGGGAACCCAATCCACACTGAAGGAATCAGGGAGAATTTCCAGAGGAAATGTCAACCATGCCCTGAGGTTAGCAGAGCCAGGCAGATGGGGTAGGTAGGAGGGAATGGAGGAGAGGAAGTGCCAGCATGGGGAATAACTGTGCCAATGGCCCTGGGGTTGGCGCAAAGTTGGTGAATCCTCAGAGTGCAGAGGCTGTCTCTCCATTTCTGCATCTGTTTGATGTTTACTGAACATCCGCTGAGCCCCAGGTCTTGTTCTTGGGGGCGGGTGCAACAGTGCATAACATGGACATGACCCTGCCCTGGTGGGGCTTGCAACAGACCAAAAACCATGTCCAGTAACTGTAAGTTGTGTTAAAACGCTGCGAAGGGAACACAGTGCTGGTGTCAAATGTGATGGGGTTCTGCAGTTAGATGAGTCTGAAAGTGGGGCTGGGGCTGCTCTGAGAATCCCTGTCATTCAGCTGTAGAGTTTAGGCCCTTCCCAAGAACTGGAGTGATCCCAATGTGTGTTAGGCAGATTTTGAAAACATCGCCCTGTAGACAGAGGGGCAGAGTGAGCTGGAAGGGGCTCTCCTTTGACTGATGCTCCCCGATTTCCCTTCTCCTAGCACCTGGGCCCCTGGGCTACTGCTGCCCTCTGGCCCAGCCCTGCTATCTCCCTCCGTCCTGCAGGACAGCCTCTCCCTGGGGCGCTCGGAGCAGCCGCACCCCATCTGCTCCTTCCAGGATGACTTCCAGGAGTTTGAGATGATCGATGACAATGAAGAGGAGGACGATGAGGACGAGGAAGAGGAGGAGGAGGAGGAGGAGGGAGATGGGGAAGGCCAGGAGGGAGGAGACCCTGGCTCAGAGGCACCTGCCCCCGGGCCCCTTATCCCCTCCCCTTCCGTGGAGGAGCCCCACAAGCACCGGCCCACCACCCTCCGTCTGACCACACTGGGGGCCCAGGTGAGTGCCCGGACCCACAGCTCCCTGGAGCTGAGCCTGGGTTCATAGCACCTGGGCTGCAGCCAGCCCTGCTCACCCCCTGGGAGCTGGCCCTCCTCAGGACCGCCGTCATGTATCTCCACCCCAGGACTCCCTAAACAACAACGGAGGCTTTGACCTGGTGCGTCCGGCCTCCTGGCAGGAGACAGCGCTATGCTCACCCGCCCCGGAGGCCCTCAGAGGTGAGGGGTGGTGGGCCCGCGGGGCGCGGGGAAGCGGGGGAGGAGGGCAGGGAGGATGGACTGGCTGCTGGAAGAGGCCTGGGTGGTGCAGAGAGGGTGACCCCACCTCCCTGCCCAGCAGAGCTCCCGGGCCCCCTCCCTGCCACGGACACCGGGCCCGGCGGGGCGCAGTCGCCAGTGCGCCCGGGTTGCGACTGCGAAGGGAACCGGCCTGCGGAACCCCCTGCGCCAGGGGGGACTTCGCCCTCCTCAGATCCCGGCATCGAGGCTGACCTGAGAAGCCGCTCGAGCGGCGGCCGCGGGGGACGTCGCAGCAGCCAGGAGCTGTCCTCGCCCGGCTCCGACTCGGAGGACGCGGGCGGCGCGCGCCTGGGGCGCATGATCTCGTCCATCTCGGAGACGGAGCTGGAGCTGAGCAGCGATGGCGGAAGCAGCAGCAGCGGCCGCTCCTCGCACCTCACCAACTCCATCGAGGAGGCCTCGTCGCCCGCCTCGGAGCCGGAGCCCCCGCGCGAACCCCCGCGCCGCCCCGCCTTCCTGCCCGTGGGCCCCGACGACACCAACAGCGAGTACGAGTCGGGGTCGGAGTCGGAGCCGGACCTCAGCGAGGACGCGGACTCGCCCTGGCTGCTCAGCAACCTGGTGAGCCGCATGATCTCCGAGGGCTCCTCGCCCATCCGCTGCCCCGGCCAGTGCCTGTCTCCTGCGCCGCGCCCGCCCGGGGAGCCCGTGTCGCCGGCCGGCGGGGCCGCCCAGGACTCCCAGGACCCCGAGGCGGCCGCGGGGCCCGGCGGCGTGGAGCTGGTGGACATGGAGACGCTGTGCGCGCCGCCGCCGCCCGCGCCCGCCGCGCCTCGACCCGGCCCCGCGCAGCCCGGGCCCTGCCTATTCCTCAGCAACCCCACGCGTGACACCATCACGCCGCTGTGGGCCGCGCCCGGCCGCGCCGCCCGCCCGGGACGAGCCTGCTCCGCCGCCTGCTCCGAGGAGGAGGACGAAGAGGACGACGAGGAAGAGGAGGATGCCGAGGACAGTGCGGGGTCCCCCGGGGGCAGGGGCACGGGCCCCTCGGCGCCGCGGGACGCGTCGCTGGTGTACGACGCGGTCAAGTACACGCTGGTGGTGGATGAGCACACGCAGCTGGAGCTGGTGAGCCTGCGGCGCTGTGCTGGGCTGGGCCACGACAGCGAAGAGGACAGCGGCGGGGAGGCCAGCGAGGAGGAGGCGGGCGCGGCGCTGCTAGGCGGCGGTCAGGTCTCGGGGGACACCTCGCCGGACAGCCCTGACCTCACTTTCTCCAAGAAGTTCCTCAATGTCTTCGTCAACAGCACATCTCGGTCCTCCAGTGAGTGAGAGGTGGGGAAAAGGGGGGTGGCCCAGAGGAAGGTGCAGACTCCCTGGCCCCAGTCCCAGGGTCCCCCACAGTGCCCAGGGCCACCTGAGGGTCTGGCTGTGGTCAGGGCTGGGTGCCCTCTCCCACCCAGGACATGGCATGAGGTGGCCTGCTCTGCCTCAGCTCCTTCCCGCTCGTAGGACACCTACACCGGACTGTGGAGGGGACTTGGCCTCTGCCCAAGGCCAGGCCTCTAAGCACTACTCTGACTCTGTCTCCCTGTCTCCCCCGCCTCTGTCCTGCCGGGTCTCCCAGGCACCGAGTCCTTTGGCCTTTTCTCCTGTCTGGTCAACGGCGAGGAGCGAGAGCAGACTCACCGGGCTGTGTTCAGGTACGGCCTCCCTCCTTGCTGGCGGTGGCCCCAGCCTCAGTCCCTGCCATCACGGAACGCCAGTGGACACGACCGTCAATCCCGCCCCCCTCCCCAGTGACCTCTCCCCCAACGGCAGGTTCATCCCGCGGCATCCAGACGAGCTGGAGCTGGATGTGGATGACCCTGTGTTGGTGGAGGCCGAGGAGGACGACTTCTGGTTCCGTGGCTTCAACATGCGCACGGGGGAGCGCGGTGTGTTTCCTGCCTTCTACGCCCATGCGGTGCCCGGCCCTGCCAAGGACCTGCTGGGTGAGGTCCCAACCCCGAGGGGAGGCTTTTCACCCCAGATCCTCCCCTGTGCCCCTGCCTGACCTGGGCCCTCTGTGCCCCGCTCCCCAGGGAGTAAGCGGAGCCCCTGCTGGGTGGAGCGCTTTGACGTGCAGTTCCTGGGCTCCGTGGAGGTGCCCTGCCACCAGGGCAACGGCATCCTGTGTGCAGCCATGCAGAAGGTCAGTGTGGAGGCCGGGCAAGTGCAGGCTGAGGGTCCGCTTGGCGGCCACACCAGCACTGCAGGCTGGCACAGGGCTTGAGGCTCCAAGGTCTGAGGTCTGATTTCCTCCAGGGAGGGTCTGGGGGATGCTGCAGGGGGAGCTCGGGGTGGGTACCCCAGGCCCTGGTTCAGAGGCCTGAGCAGGTGAGTCTAGGGCAGAGCACAGCAGCTGTCCCTCATCACCTCTGGGTCTCTGGGCCACAGATCTTCCAGGTGGCCCCGACTGCCATCAGCCCTTCCTCTTCCCATCTGGAATCAAGACCAGCCCTCACAGCCCCTTCCCTGGGAGCCCTCTACTCATCCACTCACTCAGTGGACGTTTAGTGAGCACCTGCCCAGGCACCAGTACTGAGGCTGAGGCTGGGGGGCAGTAGGGAGCAGGGCAGAGCAGCCCAGGGCGGGTGAGGTCTCTGTTCCTGGCTCCTGAGCCAAGCGCAGCAGCCTGCCTGGAGGAGCAGAAGGAAGATGAAGCAAGCTGACTGCAGAGAGGCGATTGCTCCTCCTGAGCCTGAGGAGTGGCCAAGGCCACACCCCTTATGTCTTCCAGAATTGCATCTCAGGGTCCTCAGCATGTGTGTCCTCAAACATAAGCTAAAAGGAGCAGAGGCGTAGTCCCACCAAGGGGAAAGAAAGGCCCTTGTGGGCTCCTCAAGACCCTCTTCTCCCCCAACTTCTTCTGTAGATTGCCACTGCCCGGAAACTGACCGTCCACCTGCGCCCTCCTGCCTCCTGTGACCTCGAGATCTCTCTTCGGGGGGTCAAGCTGAGTCTGAGCGGAGGAGGGCCCGAGGTGGGAGTGTGGGGGACTGGGGACCGGGGACTGGGGGATAGGGTTAGGCCACGGAGTCCGACGGGGCCAGGCTGGCAGGGGTGTCCAGTAGGTGGGAGGCAGGGGTGGCGCCAGGCCTCCTTTGACACAGGGACTTCTGCCCACCTCTGCTCTAGTTCCAGCGCTGCAGCCATTTCTTCCAGATGAAGAACATCTCCTTCTGCGGCTGCCATCCCCGCAACAGCTGGTGAGAGTCTGACCGTCCCCGAGTCCCCCAACCGCCCCCACAAACCCTGAGAGTCCAACCGCCCCCTGAGTCCCCACAGACCCTGAGGGCTGCCCGTGCCCAGCCCTGAGAGCTCCACCTGCACCCACTTAGCTCTGTGAGCTGAGCCTGCAGTGGCGCCTGCTCTGAGCTGGACTCAGGAGGCGTGGGTCAGACAGGCTTGCATCCAGTCTGGGTGGAGAGAGGCACACGGGCGAAGGATGTGAGAAGCCTGTGTGGGTGCAGAGGACGCCTGAGTGGGCCTGGGGCTCAGGATGGCCAGCCTGGAAACACAGCAGGTGACAGCGGTGGGGAAGTGGATCTTCCTGGTGGGGTCTAGCTGAGCCAAGGGTGTGGGATGCACTGGTCGGGGGCTATATAGGCTCTGGGGCCCGCGTGTAAGGGGAGCAGCTAGAAATGCCGGGGAAGACCTGGACCCTTTTGATTATGCCAAGGAGCTGTACTTAATCTTGCTGGTAATGAGGCCATAGAAGGCTCCTAATGGAAGGAGGTGACACAGGGGACCTGGGGGCTGCTGAGGTTATACAGGTGCTATGTCCTGAGACCAAGTGTGCAGATGCAAGAGGCACTGAAGAGGCAGTACAGGCAGGACCTAGGTTGACCGGCTGTAGAGGGTGACCTGGAAGAGACCAGGGTGACGTCTCCCTGGGGGATGGTTGTACTGCAGCCCACACACCGAGAGGGGATGCGGGATCAATCACAAACGGTGAGACTGAAGTGGCCGTTGGTCCCATGGGTCTGGAGTTTAGGAGGGAGACCTGGAGGGAAGATACCAGGTCAGAGCAGGTAGATCACTGAGACGAGAGGGGAATGGCCAGGCAGGGTGAGGGGAGGAGGGGAGGAGGAGGTGCTGGCATAGGAGCAGCAGGCCAAGGGGGGCTGCCAGCTTCCCTCCAGGCACAGGCCCCTGCCCTCTGTGTCCCAGCACCCTAGAGGAAGGAGATCTGGGAGGAACCAGAGAGGCAGAGCCAGCCAGAGGCTGGAAAGGACTTGCGGGGAGTTGGAGGAAGCAGGCTCACAGACAGGCAAGACACAGCAGGGCACGGTGCTGCCAGGACTGAGGCGTGGGACAGACGTCAGTGCATCTTGGGGGCCTTGTGGACTCTCCCTGTGGTCGAGAGTGAGGGTGCTGCCTGCTGGAAGGTGCGGAGCCCTTTTGTGTTGTCCCCGCCGAGTGCAGAGATGGTCTGATGGGATCCATGCGGAAACGCTGCTCAGTGGGGTGGAGAGGTGGGACAGCGGGCAGCGATGCAGACCAGACTGCGGGGCCAGCTCTGGGGTGGAGAGGTGGGACAGCGGGCAGGGGCGCAGACCAGACAGCGGGGCCAGCTCTGGGGTGGAAAGGTGGGACAGTGGGCAGGGGCGCAGACCAGACAGTGGGGCCAGCTCTGGGGTCACCAGGACAGCGAACGGGGCGCAGACCAGACAGCAGGGACAGCTCTGGGGTGGAGAGGTGGGACAGCGGGCAGGGGCGCAGACCAGACAGCGGGGCCAGCTCTGGGGTGGAGAGGTGGGACAGTGGGCAGGGGCGCAGACCAGACAGTGGGGCCAGCTCTGGGGTCACCGGGACAGCGAACGGGGCGCAGACCAGACAGCAGGGACAGCTCTGGGGTGGAGAGGTGGGACAGCGGGCAGGGGCGCAGACCAGACAGCAGGGACAGCTCTGGGGTGGAGAGGTGGGACAGTGGGCACGGGCGCAGACCAGACAGTGGGGCCAGCTCTGGGGTCACCGGGACAGCGGACGGGGCGCAGACCAGACGGTGGGGCCAGCTCTGGGGTCACTGGGACAGCGGACGGGGCGCAGACCAGACAGTGGGGACAGCTCTGGGGTCACTGGGACAGCGGACGCTGCCAGGAGAGGAAGAATGACCCAAATTTCTCATCAGAAGGAAACTGGGTGAAGCTCAGGTCTCAGGCTGGACAGGGCCCCAGCTAGAATTTCGTGAGAGGAAGGTGGTCAGTCGAGTTTGGGGTTTGGAGTCAAGATGTGGCAGGGGTGTGGGAGGAGGTGGAGGAGCTGCTGCCCTGGCCCAGACCTTCCTAATATTTGTCACCCCAGACCCCCCGTCCCCGGTCCCTTGCCACGAGGAGGCACGGACGAAACCGTGTGAGGTGAACGATGAACTCGTTTCTTCATGGCGGTGGTGGTAGGTCAGGAGAGCGTGGGGTGTGCTGTGTTGGGATCTGGCATTAGGATGTCTGGTGTTGGGATCACAGACTGTAGCCTTTTCTCCCAGGGCTGCCCATCCTGCCTGTGTGTCCTGGGCAAGCTCCTGAACCTCTGTGCCTAGCTCTCCATCAGGGCCCTACCTCAGAGGGCTGTTGTGAGGCTTCTGTGAGTTAATGGAAAGGGCAGAGGATGGTGCCTGAGTAATGCAGGAAGCCAGATCTGTGGGTCGGCGCTTATTACCATCATGACTTGAACGCGGCATTTGAGGCGGGCCCTGTGCTCTGTCTGTGGACAGCGTGCACACACTGTCCTGGCAAGCAGACCATCATGTGGCTTCCCATTTGGTGGAATCGCAAAGCCCCGAAGCCATGGGGGAATGGACGGGTCGGCCAGTTTCAGGGGTGGGGGTGGGGCAGCGTCCTGCTGCAGAACTCTGCCTGCCTCTCCCTCTGGACGACGATTTTTGATTTTTGCTAATGTCTGGGTGGAGGAGCTGGGCAGTGACTCCATGAGCGAGGCCCCGCAAGGAGCTGCTTTCCAGTGGGAGCGAGGGGTAGACCGGAAGAGGGTTTTACAGACCAGGGGTAACGTCCAGCCCCACCTCGGAGCTGGGCAAGGGGCTGTCAGTCTGCTAGGCCCGCAGGAGGAGGCCTGAGTTGGCAGGAGATATGGTCTCCAGTAGCCAGGCAGAGGCCTTGCTCTGTGGTCCTGGGGCAGGCCCTGAATAGGGCCACAGAGGGTAGCAGCACCGGCTCAGAGAAGGGAGAGTGGACGCCCCTGGTCATCATGGAATTAACTCAGAGCGTGAACTCTTGGTAGGTGCCCAGCCCTGTGCTTGGGCTGAAACCAAAAAAAGACAACTTCAGATCTTGAAATTGTGCGACCCCCACACTCCTGTCCCTTACCCTCTCCCCAAGCCCTTTGTTCCTGCCTCTTCTCTCTACATCATTTGTGGGGTGGCCAAGGCTGGGCCAGGGCTCTGACGTGCCCTCCACACTGACTTGCCCGCAGCTATTTCGGCTTCATCACCAAACACCCCCTGCTGAGCCGCTTCGCCTGCCACGTCTTTGTCTCCCAGGAGTCCATGAGGCCGGTGGCGCAGAGTGTGGGGTGAGTGGGGCCCCAGGGTGTGGGTGCAGAATGGGTGCAGGGTTACGGAGGTGGGGAGCGGAGGTGAGCAGGTGGGGGCAGGAGCCTGGCAGGGGAGGTCTGGGGAAGGAGAACCAGATGTGCTGTGTAGAGAGGGCAGTGGTGGGTGACAGTTTGGGGTGCTGGGCATGGGGTGGGAACAGGCACAGACACATGGCCCAGGCACTCTGGCAGGGGTAGAATTGCTGGGCCAGGAGAGCTGAGGGTCACACTTGGGGGTGACATGGCCATGCCTGGGTGGGGGGTTATGGATGGCTGCAGAGGGAGGAAGGAGGGAGAGCTCAGAGGCTCTGTGGAAGGCAGTTTGGGGGTTGAGGACCGGCCCTGAGTGGCTGGTGGAGGACCGTCTTTCCCCAGCCGCGCCTTCCTGGAGTACTACCAAGAGCACCTGGCGTACGCCTGCCCCACGGAGGACATCTACCTGGAGTAGCCTGCCCACCGCTCTGTCTCCTGGCCGTCTGCTCCAGGCGCAGCTGGGGCTGAGGATGTCTCAAGAGGCCACCATGGCTTTGGCAAGGACTGGATTGGGGGGACATGGGACCTTACGCTTGTGGGGGTCTGCGGGCTGGGAACTCTCGTCCTCGGTCCCCAGGGCGCAGCTGTTGGGGCTGCGGGGGAGTGGAGCCCCCGTGCCCCTGCTTTTCCTCAGATCCGTTCTTTCTCTGTGTTGTCCTCCTCCTTCCCTTCCCAGTCTCCCTTTTCTCTCTCCTGGTGTCTCTGCCCCTCTCTGTGCCTGCAAACCTTATCCTCTATTCTTCACTTTGGGGTCAGAACTTCGGGGGTGTGGAGGAGGTGCGGCTCTAGGGACAGGTAATGTCGGCTTCCAAGTGATGCCCTCCTGCCACTCCCCTGCGATTTATAAGGGAATTTTAATTTTTATAGTGAATCTCAAGGGATCATCCCATCCTTGACCACAGGGACAAGAGGGGCCCCCTCGCCCCAGCCCCACCCCACATGGAGCTCAGGGGGAAGCAGGGAGGGGTTCCCAAAAGAGCCCTGCGGAGGCTAGGAGTGGTTCTTGATGCTCACCTGAAGCCCCTAGACGCTGCTAGGAGGGGGGGCCCTCCTGGGCCCCCAATACCCCTCCGCTTGCCGCTGCTAGCGCACCCCTGCAGTCCAGCGTGCATCCACCCCACGCACGCCCCGTGCTGTGTTCCTGGGCCCTGCCCATGGCCTCAATAAACTCTCTGCTTGGTGTGACATTGGCTGTTTCTAGAGGGTGCTAAGACATGGGGCCAGGTGCCCAGGGGCTGCCCATTGTGGTAGGGACAGAGTCCCCAGTGGCGGGAGTGTTGTGGCAATCTCACCCTTTTAGCTCTTTCCGAAATTGTGCCGGGGGTCCCTGCGGTGCTGCTCTGGGGCCTTATCTGAGGTGCCGTATCTAGAAGCACCCTTGGGAATTCTCCCTAGATACACTCGATTGGCCACAGAGGAATCCGAGGCTGTGCAATGGGGTGTCCTTTCCACGTGCACGGACTGGGGGCCAGCACGGCTCAGGTCAGTGTGTAGTGGGGGCATGAACTCCTTGAAGAACAATCTGGCCGGGCACGGTGGCTCACGCTTGTAATCCCAACACTTTGGGAGGCCGAGCCGGGGCGTATCACCTGAGGTCAGGAGTTTGAGACCAGCTTGGCCAACATGGTGAAACCCCATCTCCACAAAAAATACAAAAATTAGCTAGGTGTCCTGGCGCACACCTGTAATCCCAGCTACTCAGGAGGCTAAGGCATGAGAATCGCTTGAACCTGGGAGGCGGAGGTTGCAGTGAGCCAAGATTGCACCACTGCACTCCAGCCTGGGCGACAGAGGGAGACTCCGTCTCAGAAAAAGGAAAAGAAAAACAATCTACTTAGATCTTAAAATGGATATTTAAAAAATTCTCCAGAGAAAGCCAGAAGAAAATAGGTGACTTTTTCACTATGTGCTTAGGTGACTGCAGATGCCCGGCAATGTTCCCTCCCAGGCCCTCCTGGGTGAGCCCGCCTCCCAGGCAGGGGTCAGCATGGCCGGGGTCCCTCTGTCTGAGCCCAGGATTCGTGCAACACCAGGAAGACAACAGTTGAAGGTTCCTTAGTGAGCTAAGGGAAGTATACACAAACTTACTACATAAACATTAGAAAGTGCTGTCCGTAAAAAACACGTCTTCACAGAGCCAACAAGCAGAGAAATAGCTGCCCAGTGTTAGGAAGTGCATCATGATCCAGAGGTTCAGCCCGTGTGCAGCGCACAGACCTGAGGCCCCAGAGAGACCGAGGACGCAGACCAGTGGCACGACGGAAACGCAGAACGTTTATGAGAAAACTTTCCTACTAATTGAGATAAAGCTGTAAAGAGGCAGATAGCCCCACTGGGTGTGTACGTTTGAAACTTGTGCCCCCTGGGCTAGGGCATTCGGGGTGTGGCCCTCAGTCCCCTGTAGCTGCTGCCTGGAAACCGCTGCCACCCACCCACCTCCTCCCTCTGCTCTTCCACTCAGGTGAGAATTCTCCAAGCCCTGCCCTCCGGCGCCCCCGTCCCGCCCCTGCCCGGCCTGGCCCCGCCCCTGCCCGGCCCCGCCCCCCAACGTGTCTTCAGGTCTCTTTCCCTCCAGCCGGCCCTTAGGACGGCTGTTGGACGTGCTCGTGAGTCCTTCGCCTGTCTGCCTTCCACCTCTCTGCAGCTCCTTCTCCAATCTCATGGTCTTCTTGAGCTTGGCCGCCCTCCACGCCCCATGCTGGGCTTGGTCGGTTCTGGGGTCTACCTCTCTGGCTTCATCCCTCCCACAGTTTCGAGGGTTTCCCTGTGCTCAGGCCCCTGGCAGCCGCCCCCTGTGCAGACCACTGGGCAGATCCAGCTGACCTCCAGGGGCACTTCCTCGGCTCATCACTGGGCCGGTGCTCTGCAGAATGAGCTGTGAGAGCCACTGTGGCTGGCCAGAGGGTGCCACTCACAGTCACTTCAGACTCACAGGAGCCTTCGTCCCGACCCCTGCATTCATCTGTGTTCTGTTTTATGTTTTTTCCCAGTCACCTGAGCTGCAGGCCTTGGTCACCCCAGACTCCTCCCTCCTGTCACCCTTATCCTCACCCCAGCACCTTTACGTCTGCCCCAGGCTCCATTTCCCCCTCTTCTGCCTGGATCAAACCACCCTGACTTTCCTGGGTCTTCGTGCAACAGCCTGCTCCGGCCGCTGCCTCACTGCACCTGCAAATCCACTTGCACCCACACCCAGGCCAGGGTTTTTAAACAGAAGCCTCAGCAGATCCCTCTCTCTGGCCAGCTCCCTGTTGAACCAGGAAGCAGGTCCCTGTTGAACCTCAGCATGACCCGCCCCCACCCCTGCATCCCACTTCTGCTCTGGGAGCCTCTGGGTTCCTGGGCGCACCTGCTGCCCTTCCCTGTTTGTCACTGGGTGACCTCCCGTCCTTGTGGGCGCTCCCGGGCCCTGGTCTCGGGCCTTCTGAGGACTTGCTCTCCTGGTAGCGGCTGCTGACTGTGAGCCCAGAGAGCAGGCGTGGCTGTTGACCTTAGGTCCTCCCAGAACCTGGCGGATCGCCTGGCTCCCAGGCAGGAGGCGCTGCATGACGCCTCCAACTTCCGCCAATCTAGCCCAAGGATGGCGTTCTAAATAAAACGCGTTCTACAGAAAAGTGTTTATTGCATTCTTCTTTGAAATAATGTAAGCATAAAAGTAATCTGAATATTGACCAATAGGGTTAATTGATTAAGGTATATTTACCTAATTGAAATATTGGGTAGATGTGAAAAAAAGTTCCAATGTTTGTAATTACACAGAAAATTTCTGTTATGCTATTAAGTGGAAATAAATTTCTGGGCACAGCAGCTCATGCTACTGTGTAATCTTAGCAATTTGGGAGGCCAAGGTGGGCAGATCCCTTGAGTCTGGGAGTTCGAGACCAGCCTGAGCAACAAAGCGAAACCTCTATCTCTACAAAAAAAAAAAAAAAAAAATACAAAAATTATCTAGGTGTGGTGGCACACACCTGTAGTCCCAGTTACTTGGGTGGGTAAGGGAGGAGGATAGCTTGAGCCTAGGAGGTTGAGGCTGCAGTGAGCCATGATCATGCCACCACACTCTGGCTGGAAAGAGCAAGACCCTGTAACCACAATGAAAGAAAAGAAGAGAGAGAGAGAGAGAGAAAGAGAGAGAGAGAGAGAGAGAGAGATGAAAGAAAGAAAGAGAAAGAAAGAAAATAGGCAGGGTCATATGTAGCATTCTAGAAACTATATGTTGAAAAATGCTGAAACACAAAAAATGTTAAAAGTCATTTTTGGCCGGGCGCAGTGGCTCATGCCTGTAATCCCAACACTTTGGGAGGCTGAGGCAGGCGGATCATGAGGTCAGGAGATCGAGACCATCCTGGCTAACACGGTCAAACCCCATCTCTACTAAAAATACAAAAAATTAGCCGGGTGTGGTGGCAGGCGCTTGTAGTTCCAGCTACTCGGGAGGCTGAGGCAGGAGAATGGCATGAACCTGGGAGGCGGAGCTTGCAGTGAGCCAAGATCGCGCCACTGCACTCCAGCCTGGGAGACAGAGCAAGACTCCGTCTCAAAAAAAAAAAAAAAAAAAAAAAAAAAAAAAAAAAAAACCACCTCATTTTTGCTGAAGTTGAGCTGAGGGTGTTTCTCTTCCTTTTTTTCCTGCAGCAAATATGTCTTAATTTTTTGAAGTATTATTTGCTACTTATTAGAGACCTCCAAGTGCAAATGGAAATATCCACAGAAAAACTAAAGATAAAAAAGTTAAGATAAATTAATCAAACTCAAACAAAAAAGTTATTTTGGCTACAATAAAAATACCACCCCATAAGGTTATCATAAGGCTTAAATGAATCTGCCAGTCAGACAGGCCAAGGGTAGTGCTTGAGTAAGTTATTATTTTTATAAACACTATAAAAGTAGGATTTCCCTATTTTTAAAAATATTACTTTCCCTGGCTGGGCGTGATGGCTTGCACCTGTAATCCCAGCACTTTGGGAGGACGAGGCGGGTGGATCACCAGGTCAGGAGATCGAGACCATCCTGGCTAACACGGTGAAACCCCGTCTCTACTAAAAATACAAAAACAAAATTCGCTGGGCATAGTGGTGGGCACCTGTGGTCCCGGCTACTCGGGAAGCTGAGGCAGGAGAGTGGCGTGAACCCGGGAGGCGGAGCTTGCAGTGAGTGGAGACCGCACCACTGCACTCCAGCCTGGGAGACAGAGTGAGACTCTGTCTAAAAGAAAAAAAAAAAAATTACGTTCCCTATAAAGAGTAACACATATCATAGACATTTTGGAGACTGCAGATGATAGAAGAAAGGCTAAAATCAACTGTATTTTTATGGCCCAGAGATAACTGTTTCTAATATTTTGGTGTATTTTTTCCAGTCTCCCTTCTACTTGAGGGTTGAAGGCAGAGGGAGGTTAGGGGAATCAAGAAGAATTTAAGGCAAAAGATAAAAGCAAAATAGCAGAGGTCGCTGCAGGCATACCTTGGAGATTTTGCAGGTTTGGTTCTAGACCACCACACTAAGATTGCAACAACGTGAGCCACACAAATTTTCTGTTTTCCAGCGTATATAAAAGTTATGTTGGCCAGGAATGGTGGCTCATGCCTGTAATCTCAGCACTTTGGGAGGCCAACGCAAGCAGATCGCTTGAGCCCAGGAGTTTAAGACTAGCAGGGACAACATAAAAAAACCCGGTCTGTATATATATTGTATACCTGTATATTTTATAGATATACACGTATGTAGTATATAGATATACATGTATATAATATATATAAATACATGCATATTTTATATATATATATATATATTAGCTGGGTGTGGTGGCATGTGCCTGTAGCCCCAGCTATTCAGGAAGCTGAGGTGAGAGAATTGCTTGAGCTTGGGAGGTTGAGGCTGCAGTGAGCTGTAATTACACCACTGCACTCCAGTGTGGATGACAGAGTGAGAACTTGTCTCAAAAAAAAAAAAAAAGTTATGTTTCCACTATACTGTAGTCTATTGAATGTGCAATAGCTTTTAAAGTATATACCTTAATTTGAAAATACCTTATTGAGCCTGGGCACGATGACTCACAACTGTAATCCCAGCGCTTTGGGAGGCCGAGGTGGGTGGATCACCTGAAGTCAGGAGTTTGAGACCAGCCTGGCCAACATGGTGAAACCCCATCTCTACTAAAAATACAAAAAAAAAAAAAAATAGCCAGATGTGGTGGCAGGCGCCTGTAATCCCAGCTACTTGGGAGGCTGAGGCAGGAGAATTGCTTGAACCCGGGAGACAGAGGTTGCAGTGAGCCGAGATTGCGCCATTGCACCCCAGCCTGGGCAAAAAGAGCAAAACTCCATCTCAAAAGAAATAAAATAAAATAGGGCCGGGCTTGGTGGCTCATGCCTGTGATCCCAGCACTTTGGGAAGCCAAGGCGGGGGGATCACGAGGTCAGGAGATTGAGACCATCCTGGCCAACATGATGAAGCTCCATCTGTACTAAAAATATAAAAAATTAGCCAGGCGTGGCCAGGCTCAGTGGCTCACACCTGTAATCCCAGCACTTTGGGAGGCTGAGGCAGGCGGATCATGAGGTCAGGAGATTGAGACCATCCTGGCCAACATGATGAAGCTCCATCTGTACTAAAAATATAAAAAATTAGCCAGGCGTGGCCAGGCTCAGTGGCTCACACCTGTAATCCCAGCACTTTGGGAGGCTGAGGCAGGCGGATCATGAGGTCAGGAGATCGAGACCATCCTGGCTAACACGGTCAAACCCCGTCTCTACTAAAAATACAAAAAATGAGCCGGGCCTGGTGGCGGGCACCTGTAGTCCCAGCTACTTGGGGAGCCGAGATCACGCCACTGCACTCCAGTCTGGGTGACAGAGCAAGACTCCGTCTTAAAAAAAAAAAAATTAGCCAGGCGTGGTGGCACGCACCTGTAGTCCCACCTACTCTGGAGGCTAAGGCAGGAGAATCGCTTGAACCCGGGAGGCGGAGGCTGCAGTGAGCCAAGATCATGCCACTGCACTCCAGCCTGGGCATCAGAGCGAGACTCTGTTTTGAAAAAAAAAGAAAACACCTTATTGCTAAAAAAATGCCAGTGATCATCTCCACCTTCAGTGAGTCATAATCTTTCTGCCGGTAGAAGGTACTGCGTCAGTGTTGATGGCTGTTGACTGATCGGGGTGGTCGTTGCTGAAGGTTGGAGCAGCTGTGGCAATTTATTAAGACAATGAAGTTTGCCACACTGACTCTTTCATGAAATATTTCTCTATAGCATGTGACACTGTTTGATAGCATTTTATTCATAGTAGAACTTCTTTCAAAATTGAAGTCAACCCTCTCAAACACTGCTGCTGCTTTATCAACTAAGTTTATGTAATATTCTTTTTTTTTTTTTTTAAGAGACAGGGTCTTGTTCTGTCACTTAGGCTGGAGTGCAGTGGTACAATAATGGCTCACTGCAGCCTCGATATCCTGGGTTCAAGTGATCCTCCCACCTTAGCCTCCCGGGTAGCCAGGACCTAAAGCAAGTGCCACGGTGCCTAGCCAACGTTTTTTTGGAGAGATGAGGTCTCACTATGTTGTCCAGGCAGGTCTCAAATTCCTGGTCTCAAGCGATCCTCCCACTTCAGCCTCCCAAAGTGTTGGGATTACAGGCCTGAGCTACTACACTCGGTCCTGTGCAATATTCTAATCCCTTGTTGTCATTTCAACAATGTCCGTAGCATCTTCACCAAGAGTAGATTCTATCTCAAGAAACCACTTTCAGCCAGGCACGGTGGCTCATGCCTGTAATCCCAGCAATTTGGGAGGCCAAGGCAGGAGAATCACTTGAGCCCAGGAGTTCAAGACCAGCCTGTGCAACATGGTGAGACCCCCATCTCTACCTAAATAAATAAATAAATAAATAAACAAGAAAATTTAAAAAAAACTTTCTTTGTCCATAAGAATCAATTCTTCATCTGTTCAAGTTTTATCGTGAGATGGCAGCAATTCAGTCACATCTTCAGGCCCACGTTTAACTCTAATTCTCTTGCTATTATGATACTTTCAACACATTTGCAGTTACTTCCTCCACTGGACTTGTCACCTCAAAGTCATCCATGAGAGTTGGAATCAACTTCTTTCAAGCCCTGTTAATGATGATGATATTTTGACCTCTTCCTGTGAATCATGAGTATTCTTTTTTTTTTTTTTTTTGAGACAGAGTCTCACTCGGTTGCCCAGACTGGGGTGCAGTGGCGCGATCTCGGCTCACTGCAAGCTCCGCCTCCCAGGTTCACGCCATTCTCCTGCCTCAGCCTCCCGAGTAGCTGGGACTACAGGTGCCCGCCACCGCGCCCAGCTGATTTTTTGTAATTTTAGTAGAGATGGGGTTTCACCGTGTTAGCCAGGATGGTCTCCATCTCCTGCCCTCGTGATCCACCCGCCTCGGCCTCCCCAAGTGCTGGGATTATAGGCGTGAGCCACCATGCCCAGCCTAGCATCTTTCTTAAGGGCCCTGGGATTTTCAGAATGGTAAATGAGCATTCAACTTAAAGCCACCAGCTGCATTAGCCCCTAACAAGAGAGTCAGACTGTCCTTTGAAGCTTTAAAACCAGGCATTGACTTCTCTCTAGCTATGAAAGTCACAGATGGTGCCGAGTGCGGTGGCTCACACCTGTAATCCCAGCACTTTGAGAGGCCGAGGCAGGCAGATCACCTGAGGTCAGGAGTTCAAGTCCTGCCTGGCCAACATGGTGAAACCCCATCTCTACAAAAAATACAAAATTAGCCAGGCCTGGTGGCGCATGCCTGTAATCCTAGCTACTCAGGAGGCTGAGACAGGAGAATCACTTGAACCCGGGAGGCGGAGGTTGCAGTGAGCCGAGATTGCGCCACTGCACTCCAGCCTGGGCAACAAGAGCAAAACTCCGTCTCCAAAAAAAAAAAAAAAATTGCGTACACTGAAGATCTATTGTTTACTGTAGCCACCCTCATCACTTACCTTAGCTGGATCTTCTGGAGAGCTTGCTGCAGCTTCTCCATCAGCACTTGCTGCCCCACCTTGCACTTTTACATCATGGAGACAGCTTCTTTCCTTAAACCATATGAACCAACCTCTGCTACCTTCCAGCTTTTCTCCTGCAGCTTTCTCATCTCTCCCAGCTTTCACAGAATCAGAGGGAATTAGGGCCTTGCTCTGGATTAGACTTTGGGTTAAGGAAATGTTTTGGCTTGTTTGATCTTCTATGCAGACCACTTAAACTTTCTCCTTAAACAGCAATAAGGCTGCCACAGTTTCTTTCTTTGTTTTTCTTTTTTTCTTTTCTTTCTTTTTTTTTGAGACAGAGTCTTGCTCTGTCGCCCAGGCTGGAGTGCAGTGGCACAATCGTGGCTCACTGCAACCTCCGCCTCCAGGGTTCAAGTGACTCTCCTGTCTTAGCCTCCTGAGTACCTGGCATTACAGGCGCACACCACCACACTTGGCCAATTTTTTGTATTCCAGTAGAGACTGGGTTTCACCATGTTGCTGCATCCACAAGGAAGGCTCTCGGCCTTCACACAAAGGAGCCAAGGAGGCTGGAGGGGGCATAAATAAATGCACTCCCCCCTTCATTACTACTGACCCCCTGCACCAGGCTCAGGGCTGCAAAAGGGAGGGGACACATCAGACAGCTGAGAGGCAGTGTCCAGGGTGCAGCAGGGGGTGAGGTTAGAGTTGAATCAACGCCTGGGGCCAAAATACATAATTTGCATGAATGTGGAGAACAATGTGGTGTGTGCCCGCCCCCCAAACCCTAAACTGATAGCATTGGCTACCTGGGACTGAGATGAGCGGGCATTACTTGAGTTTCTCTAATGAATATGCATTACTTTCGTAATTAAAAATATTCAGAGGTGCCAGGCACAGTGGCTCACGCCTGTAATCGCAGCACTTTGGGAGGCCGAGGCAGGCGGATCACCTGAGGTCGGGAGTTTGAGATCAGCCTGACCAACATGGAGAAACCCCGTCTCCACTAAAAAATACAAAATTAGCCGGGTGTGGCGGCACATGCCTGTCATCCCAGCTGCTCGGGAGGCTGAGGCAGGAGAATCACTTGAACCTGGGAGGCGGAGGTTGCGGTGAGCTGAGATCGCGCCATTGCACTGCAGCCTGGGCAACAAGAGCGAAACTCCGTCTCAAAAAAAAAAAAAAAAAATTCAGAGGTGAATTTAAACATTGTTCCATTGAAACGTTCCCTGGGCTCCCCCTTCTGGTCACTTGGGGGACAGACGAGCACACAGCCAAGGAGGGGCCACAGGGAGGGGAGGGGAGTTTCCCTGCAGGAGCCCCCTCTTACCCTGTCGTTCACGCAATCACTTGGGCGCCGGATATCCCCTCTTCCTTCCTAACGCACCTGAGGGGAAACCACAGAATCAACTTGTTTGTTTGTTCTGTCCATTTCAAAACACTCTTAGCCCCTTCGAGAGGACACTGAGCTCCCTGAGGAAGCTGCTCTGTGGGAATGGATGGCTGCCAGCCTGGTGAATAGATTATCTTAGGCTCACAGGAAAGGGGCTGTTTTGTAAATCAACAGTAACAGTGTGTATGTCACTGCAAATATGCACGTATATGCATGCTTGTGTGCACGGGTGAGTCCTTGTGTGTTCACGTGCGCACGTCCCCGGGGGGCACGTATCCCCGGATGCATGTGTATGTGCCTCCGTGCACGTGAATGTGAGTGTGCATGCGTGCGTATTTCTGTATGCATACACATGTGCACATACGCATACGTGTACATGCCTGTGTGAGGAGGGTGCATCCGGCTCAAACAGCTAACTGGTGAAAAGCATTTCTGAACACAAACAAATCAGAGCAAAACCAAAAGCGGAATGGGGGAGTGGAAAAATCCTTGGGTGCAGAGTGCATTTGAACACCCTCCTCAGAGCTCATTTATCTTTCCACCCCCACCTCTTGGTTATGTTCTTGTAAGACCAGGTACCCTTCGTTTGTAGCGTTTATTATGGTTAGATTGTTACTGAAATAGAAAATACGCAATGACGTCATAAAGTGTGCACAGCTTGCGAGTGTGGGTTGATCGCTTTATACATATGCATGCATCATGTTATGACCCCTTAAGATTTGGAAGATTTGTAGCACCCACAGGTTCTCTGGTGTCCCTGGTCAGGCAACTCCACACACCCCACCCTACCAGAGGCAGTGACTTCAATCACACTGAAAATTTCAGGTGCATCTGACATCCCGGGATTAAGCTCATCTCCTTTGCTAGACTGTAAGCCCGGTGAGTGCAGAGTGGGTCTCCTCTGACAACCCCATGCCCAGCACTGCACGGTGCTGATGCATAAACACGGGTGGGATTAACTCAGTTATGCACACTACCCAAGTGAGAGGAAGTGGAGCAGCAGAGCTGGAGGAGGTGCCTGAAGACTGTGGTTGGGTGTTAGTATTCATTTAGTTCTTGCTAGAGGGTTTGGTCTTTCGTGTGATACTGGAATCATGCCTCCAGTTCAGTTCCTCTCTGCCCTCATCTTGAACCACAGCGCTGTTTGAAATGCTTGTTCCTCGGTGCCGTAAAGAAACAGCACTTGAACATAAATTTAATTTTCTTTTATACTTTCTGCAGAAAGGGTACACTCGCCAGCAGTTTTGCCGTGAGAGTACACCGAACAAAAGGGGACAGGGTCATTTGTAACCTGATGCGTCCACCTTACTGCCGTGTCCGGTTTCCATCGGCTGGAACGGGACCTCACGTTCTGTATTTGTCCCGATTGGCTAGCAACTTAGCACTTTTTAAAAGAGGAAAAGAGAGAGGAGAACAAAGGAAGGAGGAAGTAACTTGTGGAATGATGAGAAAGGTAAAAACACCTTCAAATAAGGAAGAGGAACAGGCTGTGACGTAATGCTTGCTTGGGCCAGTTTAAGCATGCCAGGGCAGATATTTAGGCTAAATTGTGGGAGCTAAGAACATAAAGGACATTGAGTTCTTTATTCGGCTAGCAGTTATTTAAGAATGTTAGTACAGGTCTTTGAATAAATTTTGCTTTTAAGAGAAGTTACTATTTACTCCTAGATGGGGAGGAAAGTCTGAAGAGGAACCTCTGCTTCACTTTCTACAGCGCCACCTGGGGCCAGCACCTCCACTCGGACCACAAGTGCACAAGGGCCCCCCTTATGCCAGCATCAGGGGCTGCTGGGCACCCCAAGGAAACCACCACCTTATGGGGGTGATTCCAAACACAGCAGGATTTGGGGTGTGGTCAATGCAGCCCTCAAACCAGATGAAAAGGGATGAAACGGTTGCGTGGAGAGTCCTCAGCACACTGTCTGACACCACAGGCTCACGCAGGCACATGTGCCCGCCACACAACCATTCATAGGCCACATTCCAGCAAGGCTTTTGGCTGCAAATAACAGAACCCTCACTAGCAGTGGCTTCAACAGGCAGGGTTTATTTTCTTACGCTTGGAGCTCTCCAGGTAGGCAGCTGGAGACACTGGGTTAGCAGCTGCCCAGTGTCCAATCAGGGCCTGTGACGGCTGCGCAAGGTCCTCACCCCCAGGGCTGCCCCAGTCGTTCACTACCAGGACTCCTGGTCACAGGCTACTCCTGAACCAATCACTGGATTGACTGGCTCAGGCTGGTCACCGCCCTCCTTGGAGAGAAAGAGGCTGCAACTCCAAGATCAAGGGACCTTTGCCCAGCACTGAAAAATGGGAGCCCATTAGGAAGGAGGTGGCTGTTTGGTAGCAACGAACGGTGTCTGCCACGGGGAGGTGTCTGAACGCCCGGAAGGTGTGCTCCTCTCACTTGGCCAACACTGAGGGAGCACCTGGCGTGTGACTGGCCACCTGGGCATGCACGTGGGCCTGACGTCAGTGTGCCATGCTGCACAGACACGGGCAGGTGCTCAGACAGTCCCTCCCTGCAGAGGAGGCCAACAATGGAGGCAGAGCGTTGCCGTTGAAGGGAACAGCCAGGCCACCCCCTAAGACTGGGGGGAAGGGGGTGTGGGTGGAGGCCTCAAGGGCAAACTGGGTCACTGTAAGGGGTTTGGATTTTCTTCTGAGAAGCCTGCGAAATTTTGAGCAGGAATAGATGCTCAAGCCCAGCCTGATGTTTTATTTGTTTATTTGCAGACAGGGTCTCACTCTGTCCCCGAGGCTGGAGTGCAGTGGTACAATTATAGCTCACTACAGCCTCGACCTAGTGGGCTGAAGTGATTCTCCCACCTCAACCTCCCAAATTGCTAGGACAAATGCTACCACGCCTGGCTAATTAAAACAAATATTGTTGGCCAGGTGTGGTGGTTCACACCTGTAATCCCAGCACTTTGGGAGGCTGAGGCGGGTGGATCACCTGAGGTCAGGAGTTTGAGACCAGCCTGGCCAACATGGTGAAATCTTGTCTCTATTAAATAAAAAAAAATTAGCTGGGCATGGCAGCACACACCTGTAGTTCCAGCTACTAGGGAGGCTGAGGCAGGAGAATCCCTGGAACCCGGGAGGCGGAGGTTGCAGTGAGCGGAGATGGTACCACTGCACTCTAGCCTGGGCGACAGAGCGAGACTCCGTCTCAAAAAAAAAAAAAAAAAAAAAAAAAAAAAAAAAAAAAAAACAAAAACAAATCTTTAGAGCTGGGGTCTCACTATGTTGCCCAGGCTGGTCTGAATTCCTGGCCTCAGGCATCCTCTCACCTCAGCCTCCCAAAGCACTGGGAATACAGGAGTGAATCGCCGTGTGCAGCCTAACAGATTTTTTGTTTTTTGAGACAGAGTTTTTCTCTTGTTGCCCAGGCTGGAGTGCAATGGTGCGATCTCGGCTCACTGCAACCACCGCCTCCCAGGTTCAAGTGATTCTCCAGCCTCAGACTCCCAAGTAGCTGGGATTACAGGGATGCACCACTACACCTGGCTAATTTTGTATTTTTAGTAGAGATGGGGTTTCTCCATGTTGGTCAGGCTGGTCTCGAACTCCCGACCTCAGGTGATCCACCCGCCTCGGCTTCCTAAAGTGCTGGGATTACAGGCGTGAGCCACCGTGCCCAGCCAACAGATATTTTTAAGAGATCACTTTGTCTGCTGGGTGGAGAATCGTTAGTAGTGGGTCAAAAGGTGAAGGCAGGAGACAGAAGTGTGGGCACAGGTGAAATGCAGAGGCCTGGGAGGGTGGAGGGGCCCCAGAGGAGCCGTCTCAGGGCCTGCTGCTGTGCCTTCCTAGGAGCCAGCAGGGGCTCCAGGCCCCTTAGCCCCACCTGGAGTGTGCAACTCATCACCCAGCTTCAGACAGGTTTCTTATAAGAACCAAGGAGGTCCAGTGCCTGTGTCTCTAAGAATGCTTCTTCTGGGGGAATATCCCGTCTCTCTCAGGCACTTTGCATCTTCTGAGTCTTCTGGCCCTCACACCCTCCCACCCTCCCACCCCGTTCCTGGCACTCAAAGGCACGTGGCGCTGCTCCTGTGAACAGATGTGCCCATGTCCTTGAGGCTGACGTGTGCCTGTGTGCACTGACCCACGCAGATCACCAAGGCGCCAGGGCAGCTTCCAGAGCCACGACACCAGGGTTCAAATCCCAGCCCAACCTCTTTCTGGCTGGGTGATCTTGTACAAGTCCTGAACCTCTCTGCACCTCAGTTTCCTCATTCGTACCACAGGGGACCGGCACCAGCACACAGCATTACCCCAGGATTGGACGAATTGTCACATCTGCAAGTCTCCACTGGTGTTATTACGTTATCAGGCACAAACCCCCTCCAGACACCTGAGCCTCCCCCACAGGCTCCCAGTGAGGAGCCATCACATGCCCAGGCCAGCCGAGGGGCCCTCAGGCATGGGGATCTGGGCAATGGCAGCAAGCTGGGCGGGGGGTGCAGCCAGGATGACAGCAGATCTGCAGGGCGGGGTCCTCGCCCCGGGCCACCTGGCTGGGGCCGAAGGTCACAGCTGCGTCTAACTGGGCCTTGAGCAGCTGAAGCTGTTTCAGGGCTTGCAGCACCTCTGGGGTGGCCCCGGCCACACCCCCCAGCAGGTTGTAGTTCTCACCAGGGTCCTTGGACAGGTCATAGAGCAGCGGGGGCTCATGAGCAGTCAGAGAGCTGGAGGCGTGGCAGGCAGGGTCTGCAGTGGTATCACTGTGGGCAGAGCCTGGGGAGGGGGCCAATTCTGTGCACAGGGCAAGGGCGAGAGGAGGGGCCAGGGATCTAGGGCTCCGGGGAGGGGTCAGCAGGTCGGGGGGAGGGATCCACGGGGAGGGGTTACCCTGGGTGAAGAAGTGAGCCTTGTACTTTCCAGTCCGCACAGCAAAAACCCCACGGACCTCGTCTGGGTAGGACGGGTAGAAGAAGAGAGACTGCCGAGGGCTCTGGGGGCAGAGTCAGGGGTCACGGGGCGGGGCAGGCCCCAAGCACTGCACATACCTGGGGCTGCCAGCCCTGGTGGGAGGCCCTGGACGTGCACCGCTTCTTGCCCACCCAGGAACCTGAGAGGTGGCGCCACTTGGATGCCACTCAGTGCAGGAGGCACTGAGGCACAGACTCTCAGGCACTGCCCACACTCACCCCAGGGGAAGGCCAGGACAGGGGCCAAGGATCTGGGATCAGGGGTCACCGGCCCTACCTTGCCTGTGCCCAGCAGCAGGGGGCTGAGGTCAAAGCCATCCAAGGTGACATTGGGCAGTGGGGCCCCAGCCAGGGCTGCCAGGGTAGGCAGCAGGTCCAGGGAGCTGGCCAGCTCGTGGGTCACGCCTGGGGGCAGGAGGCTGGTCAGTCACTCAGTTCGCCATCAAGGTTGGGGTGGTGGGGCCAGGGTTCCAAGGAGAGGGCCTGCGGACTGACCGGGAGCGATATGACCTGGCCAGAAGGCCAAGGCAGGCTCTCGGACACCGCCCTCGTAGGTCGTTCCCTTTCCACACCGCAAGAGACCGGAGCAGCCGCCTCGGGACATACGCATGGTCTCAGGTCTGGGACACAGGAGGCGCTCATGAGCCATGGAGCCACAGCCTCTGAGCCACCGAGGGTGACCAGTGGCCCCACACCTCTAAGTCACAAAGCTTGCCCGGAGGTGCCCAGCATGAGCCCGGCACCTCCCAGGCCTACCAAGACCAGCTCTCTGTGCACTGTGTCTCCTGACTACACCTTGGGCCCCTGCAACGTGGCCAGCATCTCCTGGCACCCCCTCACCCACTATGTTCTTGGCAAGCAGCTGAACTGCAAGGCCTCCAGGGCCCTGGCCCGTGACAGGGCCGGAGCACCCAGCTGCCCTGCTGGCATACCCATTGTCTGCAGTGAAGATGACCAGCGTCTCTTCAAGCAGCCCCAGGTCCCCTATGGCTGTCATCAGGGTCCCCACAGCTGCATCCAGCTCCATCAGGGAGTCCCCAAATGGCCCGCGGCCTGAACGCTCTGCAAAGCTCTGCCCACTGAACTGAGGGTAGTGGGTGTGCTGGGGGCAAAGACTGGAGTTAGCACTGGGTAGGGGTCACGGGCAGCCAGGGGGTTGGGCCAAGATCACTTACGTGAGAGGCATAGTACAGGAAGAAGGGGCGATCCTGGCGCTGGGCGTCGGCCATGAGGTCATGGGCGAAAGCCATGTAGCGGGCCTCTAGTCCGGGCAGCCAGGGGGGCTGCGCCTCCACGGACAGGTTGGCCAACAGTGGGATGGGGACCAGGCCCTGGTCACAGCCACCGTCGCAAGGAGTGGCCGGCGGGAAGCAGGTCAGGTTCTGGCAGGGGCCCTGAGGCGGGCAGCTGCCGTGAGGGCTGGGCTGGCAGGTGGGGCTGCGGGAGCATCAAGGGCTGGGGGACTTTGGGAGGTGGGAGGGTGGCTGAGGGCCCGGGTGGTTCCTACCTGGTCGTGGGAGTACGGGATGCCTAGAAATCGATGGAAGCCCTGATGGGGGGGCAGGAAGGCCCCCTCAGGCCCCACCCCAAGGTGCCACTTGCCGGCCATTCCTGTGAGGTAGCCTCGGGCAGCCAGGACTTCGGCCACGGTCACCTCCTCCAGGGGCAGGCCCCCCCGGGAGCTGGGCACCAGGACGCCAGGGTACATGCCCATCCGAACCGGGAGCCGGCCGGTCAGGAGGGCGGCCCTGCGGGACAAGTCACAGAGTCCCTGAGACAGACAGAAATGTGGCCTTCCCTAGAGAGAGAGACAGACGTTTTTCCCGCCCCCCTGCAATCCATTGGGAGGAAAGGGATGGAGGGTCGGGGCGGGGAAGAGGCGCGGCCCCCTCTTTACCTAGAGGGTGTGCACAGAGACACAGGCACGTAGAAGTCTGTGAACCGCAGCCCTCCCGCCGCCAGCTGGTCCAGGTTGGGAGTGGTAGAGCTGGGGTGCCCATAGCAGCCCAGGTCCCCATAGCCGAGGTCGTCGGCAAAGATCAGCACGATGTTGGGCGGACGGGCAACGGCCAGGCCAGCAGCCAGGGCCAGGAGGAGGGACCGCGGTGCCCCCATGGACATGGGACCGAGGGGTCTGTCCCAAGAGAGGGAGGGCTACTTGGCTCCAGCAGGCTCTTTCCGATACCGCAGACCCAGGCGCCGCCCTTCCCTGAGACCCCGGACCCAAATACTCCCCGACCCTGACGGCCGCCTCCTGAAGCTCCAGAGGGCCGGGGCCCGACAGTACCGGGAGACCGCGGGCTGGGACGGAACTCCTCCAGGACCAGGGCACCTTCAGATTCTCGAGCGGAGATCTGATCCTCCTCGCCTAGCGGTCCGGGCTCAGGGTCGGGGGCGTAAGTCACTTGGCGCTGACCAGCGGAGTCGGGCCGGGGGGAAGGCGCTAGAGGGAGCCCAGGAGGAGCCGGTACCGGGCTGCGGGCGCTTCCGCCTCGGCCCCGCCCCGTGACCTGTGACCCTTGCGGGGCGGGGCCGGGGGCGGGGCCGGGGGCGGGGCCGGGGGCGGGCCGGGGCGAGGGGCGTTGCTGCGCGTGCTCGCTCCGAGGCCGCCGTGTGCGCCTGAGGCTGTTGGCTGCGGTCTTGAAACGGGCTCTGGGAGCTTCCTCTGCGCGGTCGGCCCTGGCTGAGGCGTCCCGGGCTGCGCGCGGGGCTCGGCGCTGCGCAGTGTCCGGTGTCCTCTCGGTCCGGAGCTTCTCCAGAGGAGGAGCGGCTCGTGCGCCCCCAGACCTCCGGTACTGGGAGACTCGGGCCCTCCTGTAAGAGACCTGAGCGCGGAGCGTTATGGGCACCCGGTGAATGAGCAAATGGCAGGGAAAACCGTGCAGCCCCATGGACTGCGGGCTCTTCCTTCACGACTAGCAAAAGCTTTGACACCCTTTCTCCTGCGTACGCGTGTCTGTGTGCGTGTAAGCTGTGGCTGGGTGCGGGGGGCTGTGTACGTGTCTGTGTGTGGTGTGTGTGGAGTGTTTGAGGCAGGTGTGTGGTGTTTCAGGTGTGTGTGCATGTGTGGTGTTTGAGGTGTGTGTGTGTGTTTTTGTAGTGTTTGAGGGATATGTGTGTGTGGTGTTTGAGGTGGGTGTGTGGTGTTTGAGGGGTGTGTGTGTGTGGTTGAGGGGTGTGTTTGGTGTTTGAGGGGTGTGTGTGGTTGAGGTGTATGGTGGTTGAGGTGTGTGTAGTGTTTGAGGCACGTATGTGTGTGGTGTTGGGTGTGTGTGGTGTTAGAGGTGTGGCGTATGTGTGTTTGCGGTGGTTGAGGTGTGTGTGTGTGTCTGGTGTTTAGGGTGTGTCTGTTGTGTGCGTGTGGTGGTGGAGGCGTGGTGTGGTGTGGAATGTGTGTCTGGGGTCCAGTCTGGCCTGTTGCAGGGTTACGCTGCTGGGGAAAAACTCATCTGAGGACAACGTGATTGGGTCCTCGCTCCCTCGTTGGGCAGCCTTGGACTTAACCTTTTTGATCTTGAAGGAAAACACAATATGTCACCTCCAAATATATTTCCTTGACACGGTTCAAGACAGTTACTCAGAAGGACTGGAAATAGAAGAATAGCTGAAAAGCTGTCTTTTGTGGGGGAGATTTGCATCTGTGGAGAGAATCTACACTGATGCGGCCAGGCCTCCTCTGAGGCCCTCCTTGCCTGATCTGGGAAGAGTAACAGTCTGACGCCTTTAAAGGCCTGAAGGGAACATTCACCATCTGTTCTCTCTCAGGGCTGCTACCTGTGAGGTTTCATCTGTAGAACAAGGCCACCTTTGCTAGCCAGGCCTCCTCTGCTCTCCCTCCTGTAACCGGTCTTGCCACTGGTCACCTGATTTTCCACCATAAACTGTGGCCATACTTTGAGCCCATGTTCTTTCTGTAACCTCAAGATGGTATATAAGCTTCCGAACCCCATTGGGAGGTTGGGGTCATCACTCTGGTTCTCCCTGTGTGCATGAATAAATCTGTATGCCTTTTTTCTTACTAACCTGGCTTTTGTCAGTTGATTTTCTGTGAACTCAGAATGCAGAAAAGTTTTTCTCTAGGCTCCTACAGTTTTGGTGCAGTCGGTAGGATAACTAAAGTCACTCTCCTGGGAGCCTCCGTCAGGGGAACCCAGGAGCCGACAAGCTGGCAGAAAGAAGGGTAAGAAGGTCTTAGCAGCCAGGCTCCCGGCCTCTCTGGAATCTTGTCAAGCCGACGGTAAAAATGTCTGTTTACCTTGTTTTCCTCTTCAAAGTTTTAATGAGAGAAATGTATTTATGTGATTAGTTTTGTATTCATATTGTTTGATTGCTTTTTTTCCCCAGAAATAGTCGTCTTTCATTCTTGTCTTTCTGTGTTTTTCTGTCATAAAGAGGGTAGAACACAGGCCTAAAACCCCTGTAAACCCCGTCTTGGGGCCGTCCTGCAGGCTAGTCAGTTTTGCAGCTCTGATCGGATGCGTCTAGTTAGACAGACTTTGCTGTGGGTCCCTGAACTGAAAACTGGATGAGATTCTCCTCTCTTTTGATGTCCTTGAAAGCTTGAGTTGTGAGCGAGTGGGAATGATGCAGGCCAGGCAGACCCCAGAGTGGAGCTTAGCCAGTGAGGGTTTTGGCTTTGCCCAGGAAAGAATTCAAAGACAAGCCAGAGGTAGAAGAAAACAGCTTTATTGAACAGGTGGCGTTAGAGCTCTGTGACTGCTCCTGCAGAGCAGGGCCACCCCGTAGGCTGAGAGTAGCAGCTCAGGGCAGTTTTGCAGTCACATTTATACGCACTTTTGATTGCATGTAGATTAAAGGATGGTTTATGCAGAAGTTTCTAGGGAAGGAGTAGTCATCATTGGGTCATTGCCATGGAAAGGGGTGGCAACTCCTGGGTGTTGCCATGGCAATGGTAAACTGACATGGCACAGTGGCGGGCATATCTGACTGAAAGCTGCTATTGCCCCAACCCTGTTTTAGCCAATCCTCAACTGGGTCAACTAAGTCCCACCTCCTACCTCAGGAGCACTCTCTTGGCCTCTGCCAATCCGAGGTAGTGACTCGCAGGTCACATTTTGTGGTCAGTCTGAAAATGGTTGGGAACCCAAGACATTTAATATTTTAAGCAGCACCGTTTTTGTTCTGAATGTGTCAAGCTTTTAGTTTGTCTTAAGAAGTCCCTGCCAGGCGAGCTGTCAGAGCCCCGGCACTGGGAGTGGTGGTCAACTTGCGGGTTGGTAAAAAGAGTTTACCGACAATAGGTTTGAAAAAGGAAAGTTTGGCCGGGCATAGTGGCTCATGCTTGTACTCTCAGCACTTTGGAAGTCCAAGGTGGGTGGATCACCTGAGGTCAGGAGTTTGAGACCAGCCTGGCCAACATGGAGAAACCCTGTCTCTACTGAAAGTATAAAACTTAGCCAGGTGTGGTGGTGCGTGGCTGTAATCCCAGCTACTTGGAAGGCTGAGGCAGGAGAATTGCTTGAACCTGGGAGGCGGAGGTTGCAGTGAGCTGAGACAGAGCAAGACTGTCTCAAAAAAAAAAAGAAAAAAGAAAGTTTGCCGGGCACGGTGGCTCACGCCTGTAATCCCAGCACTTTGGGATGCTGAGGCAGGTGGATCACCTGAGGGCAGGAGTTCAAGACCAGCCTGGCCAACATGATGAAACCCCATCTCTACTAAAAATACAAAAAATTAGCTGGGCATGGTGTCGGGAGCCTGTATTCCCAGCTACTTGGGAGGCTGAGGCAGGAGAATCGCTTGAACCTGGGAGATGGAGGTTGTGGTGAGCTGAGATCATACCATTGCACTCCAGCCTGGGCAACAAGAGTGAAACTCCATCTCAAAAAAAAAAAAAAGAAAAAAAAAGAAAAGAAAGAAAGTTTATTAGAATGCTGCAGAAGAGTGCAATGAGGTGCCTCAGCAAGAGGACTGAGTACGCCGGGTGGATTTCTCCTTAAGGGCATTTATAGGCCTTAAAGTGGAGGCTTAACAGTAATTTGGACCATATTAGCCACGTAAGTCATGATAAATGATTACATTTATAGTAATTTTGGTGCCTTAATGTCAGCGACGGTTGTACAGTGAGTTTCGTCATGGTATTCTGGAGACACATAGAAATTATAGTTACTTACACGTTTTTTGGGGGAAGAAATCTGGAACCAGATGCCTGCTTTAGATAATAGGGAGGTTTAGTTACTTTTGATTTTCCCCAGATAAGGAGTTTTGCCTCGGAGGGCCTGTTTGATGTTTGATGGTCGCCAGGTGGTTTTTGCTCTCCTCAGGCCCATCCATAAGGGGCTTTTGTCATCCCAATGTTTGTTGCCTGGTCAGTCCTCAGAAAGCCCAATCCCAACAGGCCTACCCTGTGTTACAGGTTAATGGGTCTGTGACTGGCAGCCCCTGACAGATTGTGTGTTACTGGAGGCACTGTATGTACAAACACGTTCCTTAACTGTCTCTGGGAACAAGAGTCTTTTGCTGTCTTTGCCTATTCCTGGGAGTGAATTTTGGGGGCATCATTGGAACCTCCTCTTCTATGCCCTCTCTAAACCTGGAAAATAATCTTTTGGGCTTTCCATGAAGGGGCTTCTTGGATTGAGTTGCTATTGGAATAAATACATCATTGGAAATTCTGATTGTCAATAGCCAAAAGATGAATCCTTTACATTAGAAAGATCCCTAAATTAAAAAAAAAAAAAGATTTTAGAGGTCTCTCATTCTAAACAATTGCCTTATTTGTATTTGTGGGGAGATTAAAGGAAAGAC
This sequence comes from Homo sapiens, assembly GCF_000001405.40. Taxonomy (NCBI): domain Eukaryota; kingdom Metazoa; phylum Chordata; class Mammalia; order Primates; family Hominidae; genus Homo; species Homo sapiens. The sequence goes on from NC_000022.11 coordinate 50,632,424, forward strand.
ACATAATAATGTTGTGGCTAGCCTTAGAAATCCTCTTCACAAAATTAAAGAGCAAAAATCTGACCTGTAACAAGTTAAAATCCTTTGTGCGCGCAAACCATTGCTTTGGATCCCTGCAGGATTCACAATGAAGACTGCTGCATCTTGGAAACTACTTAAAATTCTGTACTTTCACTACCATGGCCTGGGTTCAATTCCCAATAGAGGAACCAGTCCCTTTTGGTTTGATATTTGTGTGACTTTTGAATTCTTTCTTTTGTTTTTTTTTTGGAGACGGAGTCTTGCTCTGTCGCCCAGGCTGGAGTGCAGTGGCATGATCTTGGCTCACTGCACCCTCTGCCTCCTGGGTTTAAGCAATTCTCCTGCCTCAGCCTCTGGAGTAGCTGGGATTACAGGTGTGAGCCACCACGCCCGGCTGATTTTTTTGTGTGTGTGTATTTTTAGTAGAGATGGGGTTTCACCATGTTGGCCAGGCTGGTCTCGAACTCCTGACCTCGTGATCCTCCCGCCTTGGCCTCCCAGAGTGCTGGGATTACAGGTGTGAGCCACCACGCCCAGCTAATTTTCTTTTTTTTTCTTTTTTTTTTTTGTATTTTTAGTAGACATGGGGTTTCACCGTGTTGGCCAGGCTGGTCTCGAACTCCTGACCTTGTGATCCGGCTGCCTCGGCCTCCCAAAGTGCTGGGATTACCAGCGTGAGCCACGCACCCAGCCAACTTTTGACTTTGTGCGGAACTCATTTGTTGTTGACCCTTTCCCCCTCCACTGGCAGCTTTTGATTTCCTTTCTTTGAGCTCTTTGGGGTGGCTCTGGATGTCATCAGGACTGCTTTGCGCCTCTTTGGAGATGGCTTATGTGTCCTTGGTTAAGTCCATAGCTTTAGTTAAGGCTTATTGGTTTTGGTGAGTCACTTGGGAGGTACCTTTGGTTTTAAAAAAAAAGGTCTCAAAGCCATGGCTATCAGCTGTTGGTCTCAGCTAAAATCTGATAATAAGATATTTGAAAGGATTTTAAAAAAGAGCTCTGTGGTCAGAAGTTGGCTTAATTAAAAACAGGTGAGCTGATCTTCAAGCCATGTATCTACAGCCTTTTCTGCTTTTGGACCCTGTTTCTGGGAATTTTTTTTTCAGGTGACTGAAACCCCTTTAAATTGTGTGTTTGGTCCTTCTGTTTGGTTCCTTTGTTGGTATAATTTTGATGAGAAAAATGTAAAATTGTATTGGCCTTTTAGAACCTTAACATTTTTCCAAATTGGCTCCTCTAAGGATTGCAGTCCCATTTACTTCTACCCCTCCGTGCTCCTCCATCCCCTTTGCCATCTTTGGTACCTAATGAAGGGATCTACAAGGGACTTCTGATGACTTAGAGACCCCTTGGGGAACGCAAAGAAAGGTGCCACGCGCCCCGCTTTTGTCTTCCTTATGGGGCCTGAGGAGTCGTGGGTAGCTTCCTCTCGGGTCTAAAGCTTGGCTGTCTTTGGCACTGTGTCACTGGATCTCTTTGGCTTTGGGGGTACCAGGGATTACGTTGCACTGTGAGACAGTGCATGACCTGAGTGTGTGTGATGGCCGGCAGGTCACTGGCGAGGGCTGCCTCACAGTTTTGGAGGTGGCTGAAAGCAGTTGTAGTGAATGGTTGTTCCTGCAGTGGCTGCTTGTTTCTCTGCATGTTTAGATGAGAAAGGCACAATCTGAACACTTGGAGACTATGGAAGCACTTGGCGTCAAAGGCTGAGACTCCGTGGGCTGATTGCTGTGGGTCTCCCACCAGCCTCAGGGGAATGTCTTCATAGTGAGGTACACTGTGGAAACACTGTATGGCTTTGTCTCATATATATCTCTTTTTAGAGGGAACTCAGCATTCAGTGTAAATGTGGGATCCTTGATTTTAAAAGATCTAGATGCTCTGCCTTCCAGCTGCACCTGTTTTTCACATATTTAAATATTAGGTCCTCCAAACTGCAAATGCTTTTTTGGCCATGTTCATTAATGAGCTCTGTCCTGAGCCCAGTGGTCTAGTTCAAAAATGGAGAATAAATTAATAGCCACATATTTAAATAACATTGTTGTCCTTATAAAATCCTGTGGTGAATTTCTATGACTTTTTGTTACCTCAGCATCCATTTAAAATCTTCCTTTAACATACTAAATCAAAGCTTAAACTTTCTCCCTGTGGAATTGCTTGAACCAAGGAGGCAGAGGTTGCAGTGAGTCAAGATCGTGCCGTTGCACTCCAACCTGGGCGACAGAGCAAGACTCCGTCTTGAAAAAATTCAGTAAATAAAAATAATTTTTTTTTCTCTGTGCTTCAAGATGTAAATTTGTTGCCTTGTTTTCTCTAAAACTTGGTAAGGGCTTTGGCCGTGTGAGACAGATAAATTTTACCTTGTTCCATTTACAGAGGCACAATTTTAAGTATCCTTTTAAACTAGTGATTTTTACCCGATTCGTGGCTAAAATCTTAAAACTAAAGCTATAAAATCTTGATTTGTGTCTGTATTTTTATGTGTACATGCCTGTTTGTATATTATGTACATAGTAGCAAATTGACGTATAAATAAATAAGTGCTCATGAATGATGTAACTAAACCCAGATGCTTTTCTAGTTCATGTGACTAGTAATCTTTGGCAAATAAACTTAGTTTTAAAATTGTTGCTGCTGGGTGCAGTGGCTCACACCTGTAATCCCAGCACTTTGGGAGGCTGAGGCGGGCAAATCACGAGGTCAAGAGATCGAGACCATCCTGGCCAACATGGTGAAACCCCGTCTCTACTAAAAATACAAAAATTAGCCAGGCGTGGTGGCATGCGCCTGTAGTCCTAGCTACTCAGGAGGCTGAGGCAGGAGAATCACTTGAACCTGGGAGGTAGAGGTTGCAGTGAGCCGAGACTGCACTACTGCACTCTAGCCTGGGTGACAGAGTGAGACTCCATCTCAAAAAAAAAAATGATGCTAAAATTAGAATATCTTCAAAGTCGTCAGTCTTAAATATAATTGAGACATCTTTGCTTGGGCCCATTGGTCGGACAGGTTCAGACAGTCTCTGTTAGATGCTTTAAGGTCATAAAATTTGCTTCTGTCATATTTCTGATACTTGCTTAATTTGTCTGTGAACTTAGGTCTTTGGCTTTGAGCCTCTACATTCTGGGGTCAAGACAAGTGGACATGATGTGGCCTGGAGACATCTGTGTGTCCGCAGTACCTAAGCCCCATCCTCCCTGGCCCAGCTGTACCCCCCGGTCATGCTGTTTGTCTGCAGTGCCCGAGCCCCGTCCTCCCTAGCCCAGCTGTGCCCCCCGGCCATACTGTGTGTCTGCAGTGCCTGAGCCCCGTCCTCCCTAGCCCAGCTGTGCGCCCCAGCCATGCTGTGTGTCTGCAGTGCCCGAGCATTGTCCTCTCTTGCCCAGCTGTGCCCCCCGGTCATGCTGTGTGTCTGCAGTGCCCGAGCATTGTCCTCCCTGGCCCAGCTGTGCCCCCCGGTCATGCTGGGAGGGGTTGAGTCCTCCAGGCATTGTCTTTGTAGTAGCCCATTCTCACACTGCTAATAAAGACATACCTGAGACTGGGTGATTTGTAAAGGAAAGAGGTTTAATTGACTCACAGTTCAGCGTGGCTGGGAAGCCTCAGGAAACTTACAATCATGGCGGAAGAGGAAGCAAACACGTTCTTCACATGAGGTCAGGAAGGAGGTGTGCAGAGCGAAGAGTGGGGAAGCACCTCATGAAACCATGAGACCTCGTGAGAACTCACTAGCACAAAAACAGCGTGGGGGAACCGCCCCCTTCATCTAATCACCTCCCACTGGGTCCCTCCCACAACACCTGTGGATTTTGGGAACTACAGTTCAAGATGAGATTTGGGTGGGGACACAGCCAAACCATATCAGTCTTTAAAGCTCTGTCCTTTGTCCTGGGCTTTGCATCTTTAATAACAATTAAAATTGCTTACTTCCCATGTTTTTCACTGAAAATTAGGCTTCCTAAGAGTTAACATTGTAATTAATATATGTATTTAAAACTACTAGATATAAGAGAAACACTTCTGTATGCAAAGTTTATAAGAAAGTAGGATGTGTTTTTGGTAAGGAAGGTTATAAAGAAGGCATGAGAATGAGGTTTTTGTTAAAGGAAAAGTAATTTTGTCTAGTTTTGATGTTTTTAAAGGTTGTTTTAAATTAAAGGAATAAAAAAATGATAGATAAAACTGAATATATATAGAAAGTTTGAGAAACAAAGAATGGAACAAATTTTAAGAGGTTATTAAAGGTTTATGGAAATCTTATGTGGTCAAAGCTGATTGAGATTGAATGGATCTGTTTTTAAGTTTTTATTAAAATTAGCTTTAGTATTAATAATATGCTAATGTAAAGGTAGAATTTAGTTTTCATTTTTGAGTAAGATTTTCATGTAGTATTAATAAGAGACAGTAAAAGATTTTTGTTTACCTTTTGAGTAAACTACAAGAAAAGGAGGAGTAGGCCCGGTACGGTGGTTCACACCTGTAATCCCAGCACTTTGGGAGGCCGAGGTGGGTGGATCACCTGAGGTCAGGCGTTTGAGACTAGCCTGGCCAAGATGGTGAAACCCCATCTCTACTAAAAATACAAAAATTAGCCAGGCGTGGTGGCGCCTGCCTGTAGTCCCAGCTACTCAGGAGGCCGAGGCAGGAGAATCGCTTGAACCCGGGAGGCGGAGGTTGCAGTGAGCTGAGATTGTGCCACTGCACTCCAGCCTGGGCAACAAGAGTGAGACTCTGTCTCACAAAAAAAAAGGAGGAGTAGAGAGTTTGCCTCATGCTGTCTTTATTTATTTATTTATTATTTTGGAGACAGGATCTTGCTGTGCCACCCAGGCTCATCTCGAACTCCTGAGCTCAAGCAGCCCTCCTGCCTTGGTCTCCCAAAGTGCAGGGATTACAGGTATGAGCCACCACGCCTGGCTCAAAATTATAATTATTATGTTAAATTGTTGTATGTCACACAAAAAAACAAATCTCCTTGTGAATTGCATCTGTAACCATCATTAGTCTAAGTCATCTGTCATCCACAGTCAATTACTGTTTTACTTTGATTCTTTTTAAAAAGCAGCTTATAATTAGCTACAGTTCAAGACTTGCTTCTTCCTCAAGGAAACTCATGTAAAGTACCCAGACAAGTACTTTTTTTTTTTTTTTTTTTTTTTGGTTTTTGGTTTTTTTTTTTTGAGACCGATCTCGCTCTGTCGCCCAGGCTGGAGTGTAGTGGCGCGGTCTTGGCTCACTGCAAGCTCCGTCTCCCGGGTTCATGCCATTCTCCTGCCTTAGCCTCCTGAGTAGCTGGTACTACAGGCGCCCGCCACCACACGTGGCTGATTTTCTTTGTATTTTTAGTAGAGATGGGGTTTCACTGTGTTAGCCAGGATAGTCTTGATCTCCTGAGCCCACGATCCGCCCGCCTCGGCCTCCCAAAGTGCTGGGATTACAGGCGTGAGCCACCATGCCCGGCCTCAAGATGCTTTTAAAAGTCTAATCTGAGATTCCTTATGAAAAAGTTCTGGCAAAGCCAACTTTAAAAGAGGTTGAATGGCCAGTCACTATTATTACTGTACTTTATGCAAATAATCAGGCCAATTATAATAAGACTAAAACTTATTTTGTAAATCAGTTGTTCTTACTCTGATTTGTCTTTTGTGGAAAAGGGAGACTGGAGAGAGAAAAAATATGTTTTAGAAGAAAACTATAGTATACCTGTTATTAGAGTCCAGACTGACTGTTGACACCTGTTATTAGAGTCCGGACTGACTGTTGACACCTGTCACGAGAGTCCGGACTGACTGTTGACACCTGTCACAAGAGTCCGGACTGACTGTTGACACCTGTCATTAGAGTCCGGACTGACTGTTGACACCTGCCGTGAGGAGAGTCCGGACTGACTGTTGACACCTGTTATTAGAGTCCGGACTGACTGTTGACACCTGTTATTAGAGTCCGGACTGACTGTTGACACCTGTTATTAGAGTCCGGACTGACTGTTGACACCTGTTACGAGAGTCCGGACTGACTTGTTTTTGAGTTGTTATCATTTGCCTATAGTTTGAACTGAATCCTGCATTCTTTCCTAGCTCCAAGTCTCTAAACTAATGCTTTCCAGTTTTTCTCCCATTTTTCTGATTTAAAATCACTGGAAATTAAAATGGCTTTTCTTGAAGCCCTGCAACTGAAGCTAAATTACTTATAATCTTCAGGAGAAATCATCACAGCGACTTATGTATAAATAGCCTTTGTGCCTGTTGATATATGGACTATTCAGAAAGTTCACTTGAACACCCAATTAGAACTACAATCCAGAAAAATCTGTCAAATTGCCATTGCAATCTGAAGATGCTCCAGATGCCTCAGATTGAGGAGAGCTAGAAAAGCTAGTCTATGGATGACACCAGACATTCACCGTTTTTTTTCTTCTGTTTCCATAGAATTGTATCTTGTTAAAGATCTGTTTGTGTGAATTATATACGAGGTCCCAGCCCATCTGCAATGCCACTTCTTGGAATAGGATACAGCTGTTTAACTGAGCTGATCTAGTCTCAGGACTAAGAGACGGATTCAAGAAAATATGGCATGATACATATCTATTTTTCAGAGACAGGGTCTCACTCACTCACCCACAAAGTGGTGTGATCACAGCTCTCTGCAGACTTGACTTCCCAGGCTCAGGTCATCCTGCTGCATCAGCCTCCCAGGTAGCTGGGACCACAGACACAAACTACCATGCCTGGCTAATTTTTTATTTTTTGTAGCAATAGAGTCTCCCTGTGATGCCCGGGCTGGTCTGAACACCTGGGCTCAAGTGCTCCTCCTGCCTCAGCTTCCCAAAGTGCTGAGATTTACAGCCATGAGCCACTGTGCCCTGCCAGGATGACATTTAAATTTGTCTTTTTCTGCTTATCCCAATTTCTTTTTGCCCGCCTCTGCCTGTCTCTTATCTAACAACCTCTAACTCAAATCTCTTCAAAGCTATCAACTTTCTTTTTATATGGGCAACTTTCTGAAAGTCTCAAAGTGGGGACTGAAGGAAACCAAAATATTTCGCCCCAAAATGTATTTCCATGGCTGGGCATGGTGACTCACGCCTGTAATCCCAGCACTTCGTGAGGCCGAGGTGGGCAGATCACCTGAGGTCAGGAGTTTGAGACCAGGCTGGCCAACATGGCGAGACCCCGTCTCTACTAAAAATACAAAAATTAGCCAGGCATGGTGGTGCATGCCTGTAATCCCAGGGAGGCTGAAGCAGGAGAATCACTTGAACCCAGTAGGTGGAGGTTGCAGTGAGCTGAGATTGCACCACTGCACTCCAGCCTGGGTGACGGAGTGAGACTCTGCCTCAAAACAAACAAACAACAACAACAAAAATATTTCCTTGACACGGTTCAAGACAGTTACTCAGAAGGACTGGAAATAGAAGAATAGCTGAAAAGCTGTCTTTTGTGGGGGAGATTTGCATCTGTGGAGAGAATCTACACTGATGCGGCCAGGCCTCCTCTGAGGCCCTCCTTGCCTGATCTGGGAAGAGTAACAGTCTGACGCCTTTAAAGGCCTGAAGGGAACATTCACCATCTGTTCTCTCTCAGGGCTGCTACCTGTGAGGTTTCATCTGTAGAACAAGGCCACCTTTGCTAGCCAGGCCTCCTCTGCTCTCCCTCCTGTAACCGGTCTTGCCACTGGTCACCTGATTTTCCACCATAAACTGTGGCCATACTTTGAGCCCATGTTCTTTCTGTAACCTCAAGATGGTATATAAGCTTCCGAACCCCATTGGGAGGTTGGGGTCATCACTCTGGTTCTCCCTGTGTGCATGAATAAATCTGTATGCCTTTTCTCTTACTTTGTCAGTTGATTTTCCGTGAATCTCCTGAGGGCAGAGGGCAAGTTTTCCCTTGGCCTCTATAGTCTCCAGTTTGTTTAACAGTCAAATGGAAATGACAGACGCGTACTGAACGTTGACCTAAAAGAAAGAAGCTGAAGCAACATTAACATGAGCGGAGGGTTTATTTGGGCCAAGCTTGAGGATTGCAACCTGGGAGCAGAGATTCTATTTGCCCTGAATATACACTCTGATTGGCAACAGTTACAGTAGTTTTTCGAAGGAAAAGAGGTGGCTGGGCGCGGTGGCTCACGCTTGTAATCCCAGCACTTTGGGAGGCCAAGGCGGGTGGATCACTTGAGGTCAGGAGTTCGAGACCAGCTGGGCCAACATGGCGAAACCCTGTCTCTACTAAAAATACAAAAATTAGCCAGGTGTGGTGGCGTGTACCTGTAATCTCAGCTACTTGGGAGGTTGAGGCAGGAGAATTGCTTGAACCTGGGAAGTGGAGGTTGCAGTGAGCCGAGATTGCGCCATTGCACTCCAGCCTGGGTGCCAGAGTGAGACTCCGTCTCAAAAACAAAACAGAAAAAACAAAAACAGATAACATTGGCTATACATTGTTCTTTCTTTTTGAGACAGAGTCTCGCTGTGTTGCCCAGCCTGGAGTGCTCACTGTGCCCTCCGCCTCCCGGGCTCAAGTGATTTCCTGTGCCTCAGCCTCCTGAGTAGCTGGGATTTACCGGTGTGAGCCATCATACCCGGCCTACATTGTTCGTTGTGTCACAAATTCCAAGAACATGAAGATAATGGTGAGGCAGCTGGTCTGGAACAAAGCGTCCTGAAACAATTGTCCCCAGCCATTTTTGCAGAAGTGTGGGATTACTGAGGCCCCACACTCATCCCTCTTGGCCGTACACCCCGCCTAGTTCCGACTCTGCTCTGAGCTACTTCTTTTTCTCATCAGTGTAAGAGAGAGCCCCAGAGGGGGCTTCGGTGAGGATTTTATTCTGTGTGGCTGAGGGCCCCAAGGTTGCTGTAGTAATTGGGCCCTGCCAGGGTATCCCTCTCCATAGCCCCTGCCCTGAACAGTTTCCACTGCAGGTGTCCCCAGGACAGCTCCCTCAGGGTGGCCCCTCCTAGGGTGGCTCCCCAGGGCAGCTCCTTGACCTTGCGTTTCTCCACAAGCTCAGGTTGCCCCTCGGGGAGGAGCAGGACCTGGTCTCCTGATGGGAAGCGCTTTCCCTGGTCACTGACCCTGCAGCCAGTGGGAAGGTGGACAGGGCTCTGGAAGAGCCTCTGGGGACCAGGGTGAGGGTTCAGGACTCGACTTCCACTGAAGCCCAGCTGTGTGTGGGGAGCTGGCATTTTCCTGAGGAAACATGAAAGCTCCAAGATAGAGGCCATGTGGGAGCAAAGTTTGAAGGGACTCCCAGAGATGGGGTGGGAAGGGGCTGGGCTTGAGGCTGCTGCTGACCTTGTGGAGAGCAGGAGGTGCCAGTCTCTGCCAGCGAGCCCCTTGATGTTACATTCCAGTGTGGTGTCTGTGCCTGTGTGTGGCGGGGCTGGGGGCAGGGGTGCGCTGCTGGTGCTTCCATCTGGAGCCAGAACAGAAAGCTGCTCGGTGGCCCAGAAATCTTTGAACCTGTAATTGGAGCTATCGCAGCTGGTTGGCGCTGTGAATTGGAGTTTAAAAGGAGACAATCAAAGGCACTTTATTCTCTTTCAACTGGAAGCTGGGAACTACCCCAGGACCGGCCCCTTCTTCCCGAGAAGAGCCTGCTTAGGGTTGTAGTGTTACGCAAATGGTGGCCCCTTCCCCCTGGGCTCTGGAGGCCGCTCAGGGGTTGCCCACGTGACAGCTGCCTCGGCCCAGCCCTGACCTCCCGGCCTGGAGGAGGGGATGTGTGTGCTGCCAGCTATGTTTGTTCAAAGCCAAGCTCTGCAGGCCATCCTGCCTTTTGGAGATGTGAGTTCTTTTTCTGCATTGACAGAGCCCCAATTGGAGGCAGCCTGCTGGGGTTCGGGAAGTGGCTCTGGACGCCTGGGGCATTGCTAATTTGGGACTAACACCCACAGTCAGGAGAGGGCCTTGAAATGAGGGGCATGGGTCTTGTCTTTTTGCACCTTGGACAAGGGATGGAAGAAGCCTCTGCATGGGGAGGGTGGGGAGTTGAGCTGCTTCAGCGGGAACACGTGGCCTGAGTGGAGGGATTCTGCAGCAGTTCATGAGACCTGCTGACATGGGGATCCACCTTAGGCCCCCTGGTGGCCTTCATCTTCCCCACCCCTGTGGGCCTGCTCCATCCTTGTCCCATCAACCACCTTGAGGCCCTCTGGTTGGTCCCAACTCTGAAAGGGCTCTGCTGGTCCCAGCTGGGCAGATACATGACCTGGCCAAGGGGGTGGCAGGTACTGACTGGGAGGTTCTTGTGGAACCCACTGGCAGGGAGAGGAAGGCAGGAGGTTCCCAGAAAGAGGGGCAGCCCTTTTTTTTTTTTTTTTTGAGACGGAGTCTCGCTGCGTCGTCCAGGCTGGCTGGAGTGCAGTGGCGTGATCTCGGCTCAATGCAAGCTCCGCCTCCCGGGTTCACGCCATTCTCCTGCCTCAGCCTCCTGAGTAGCTGGGACTACGGGAGCCCGCTACCACGCCTCGCTAATTTTTTAATATTTTTTTAGTAGAGATGGGGTTTCACCGTGTTAGCCGGGGTGGTCTCAATCTCCTGACCTTGTGATCCGCCCACCTCGGCCTCCCAAAGTGCTGGGATTACAGGCGTGAGCCACTGCGCCCGGCTTGGGGGCACAGTCTTGAGCAGATGAGGACGGAATCCACTGCCCACAAGAACCGTGGCAGGTGTGAGGTAGCTGCTGTGTGGCAATGAAAGCTTCTCTGCTTGGGCAGACGGCAGCTCCTGAACCTTCTCCGGAGCCCATCTGTGCACTTCCTTGTAAAATCCAGTTTTAGTAAGGACCTGATCACCCTTTATGTAACCACCCAGTGAGTTCACTTTGCCCGCTGCCTGCACAGAGCCGATTTATCAAGACAGGGGAATTGCAATAGAGAAAGAGTAATTCACGCAGAGCCGGCTGTATGGGAGACCAGAGTTTTATTATTACTCAAATCAGTCTCCCCGAGCATTCGGGGAGCAGAGTTTTTGAGGGTAATTTGGTGAGTGGGGGAAGGCCAGTGAGTTGAGAATGCTGATTGGTTGGGTTGGAGACAAAATCATGGGGAGCCGAAGCTGTCCTCTTGTGCCGAGTCAGCTGCTGGGTTGAGGCCACAGGATCAGATGAGCCAGTTTATGGATCTGGGTGGTGCCAACTGATGCATCAAGCGCAGGGTCTGCAAATACCTCAAGCGCTGATCTTAGGAGCAGTTTAGGGAGGGTCAGAATCTGCACTGATCTTAGGAGCAGTTTAGGGAGGATCAGAATCTGCACTGATCTTAGGAGCAGTGTAGGGAGGGTCAGAATCTGCACTGATCTTACTTAGGAGCAGTTTAGGGAGGATCAGAATCTGCACTGATCTTAGGAGCAGTGTAGGGAGGATCAGAATCTGCACTGATCTTAGGAGCAGTTTAGGGAGGGTCAGAATCTGCACTGATCTTAGGAGCAGTTTAGGGAGGGTCAGAATCTGCACTGATCTTAGGAGCAGTGTAGGGAGGGTCAGAATCTGCACTGATCTTAGGAGCAGTTTAGGGAGGGTCAGAATCTGCGCTGTTCTTACTTAGGAGCAGTTTAGGGAGGATCAGAATCTGCGCTGTTCTTACTTAGGAGCAGTTTAGGGAGGATCAGAATCTGCGCTGATCTTACTTAGGAGCAGTTTAGGGAGGATCAGAATCTGCGCTGATCTTACTTAGGAGCAGTTTAGGGAGGATCAGAATCTGCACTGATCTTACTTAGGAGCAGTTTAGGGAGGATCAGAATGTGCACTGATCTTACTTAGGAGCAGTTTAGGGAGGATCAGAATCTGCACTGATCTTACTTAGGAGCAGTTTAGGGAGGATCAGAATCTGCACTGTTCTTACTTAGGAGCAGTTTAGGGAAGATCAGAATCTTGCAGCCTCCAGCAGCATGACTCCTAAACCATAATTTGTAATCTTGTGGCTAATTTGTTAGTCCTATAAAGGCAGACTAGTCCGCAGGGAAGAAAGAGGTTTGTTTGGGGAAAGGGCTGTTCATCTTTGTTTTAAACTGTCAACTATAAACCAAGCTCCTCCCAAAGTTAGTTCAACCTGCGCCCATGGAGGAACAAGCATGGCTTAAAGGCTAGAAGCAGGATGGAGCTGGTTAGATGTTAGATGTTAGATCTCCTTCACTGCTTCAGTCGCAGTTTTGCAAAGGCGGTTGCAATCATATCTGGTCAGGTTCCTCACCCTCCACCACCTGGCAGGTGATGTTGGTCACTCTGGCCTGTCCTCAGCAAGAATCCTCTTCACACCTGATGCTTTCCCTTAGTACATTAACATCTCCTGCCCCCACCCTGCTCCTTGGCTATAAACTCCCAGTTACCCAGGCTGTATTTGGGTTTGAGTCCAGTCTTTCTCCCCCGCTGCCAATTCCCCTTCCAGTGGTCTCTATACCTCTGGTGATGGTCCTGAATGAAGTGTGCCTGACTGTGCTTTAACAAGGGTCATTGAGTCACTTTTGTCTCTGATATAGTGCCCTCAAGCTGTCTGCCCAGGCTGGCTGCAGGCATCCTCCAGCCTCCGGCCACTGAGCTTGCTGTTTCCCCAACCTGGAATCCTGCTCCCTGGACTCCTTCATGCCCACCACTGTGGCATTCTCTCAGGAGGGCAGCCTGGTCCCCAAGCTCTCTCTCCCACTCCTGTGCCCAGGCATGAGCTTGTGAAAGGAAAATAAATCTTGGGGCCCCAGAATCACTAAGCTAAAGGGAAGAGTCAAGCTAGGAACTGCTTAGGGCAAACCTGCCTCCCATTGTATCCAAAGTCACCCGTCTGCTCACTGAGATAGATGTATATCTGATCTACTTATGACCTGGGAGTCCCCTCCCTGCTTCCAGTTGTCCCGCCTTTCTGAACCAAAGCAATGTTCGTCTTACGTATGTTCATTGATGTCTTGTGTCTCCCTAAAATGTATAAAACAAAACTGTGTTCTGACCACCTTGGGGACATGTTGTCAGGACCCCCTGAGGCTGTGTCACGAGCATGTGTCCTCAACCTCGGCAAAATAAACTTTCTAAATTAACTGAGAGCATCTCAGATATTCGGGGTTCACATTTTGGTAACCACGGAGGGATTCTGAGTGGAGATGCCCCTGATTTGGACAAATCTCCTATCAGTGCTTGGTACCAGCATGAGCTAACTTTATGGCTCAAACCAACAGGACAATTTGCTGAGATCTGGCAGCATCCCCTCCAGAGAATCCCTGAGCTTCCAAAATTTGGTTAAGATCTAAAGTTTATTTGCTGTACAACTCCCTTCTTTTTGGAGTTTGTCTTGCGTCCAACAAGGAAGGCAAGCTTTCATGCTTCCATGATGATGGAACGCAGGTAACTCCTTTATGGAGTTTGAGCTCGATCCCAGCAGGGAAGACGAGCTCGAGTTTTTTCCTGCTTCTAGGATGGTAGAGAGCCATCTTCGGCCTGAGACCCATCCCTAGGTAAGTAGCCGAATTGGGGTTTTGTCTTGGCTAACGTTTAACCATCAGCTGGTCTTAATTTCTCCATTAGACCCTTCTGTGATCATATTGTTGGGGTTTTTTGTTGTTTATTCTGGTCTTTCTCCCATCAGATTTGACCAACCATACCTGACTTGGTCAAATCTGAGTGAGAATTCCAAATTATGGATAACAAGCCTGTCTAATTTGGCTAAAATTCTTTGCAGCTGCAGAAGTGGAAAAAACAACAAAACAAAGAAAACCAGAGAACCATGCACTTGGTTTCTGTGTTTGCTTCGTTTTTTTTTAAAAAAACTTCTTTCATTTATTTTCTTTCACCCTATACCTCCTCCCCCCGTTTGCCATTTGCAAAGAATCTAGAGAAGGATTCTAATGACTTGAACGCCTTTAAATAATTCAGAACAGGCTGGGCACGGTGGCTCACGCCTGTAATCCCAGCACTTTGGGAGGCCGAGGCAGGCGGATCACCTGAGGTCAGGACTTTGACACCAGCCTGGCCAACATGGTAAAACCCTGTCTCTACTAAAAATACAAAAACATTAGCCGGGTGTGGTGGCGGGTGCCTGTAATCCCAGCTACTTGGGAGGCTGAGGCAGGAGAATCGCTTAAACCCAGGAGGCGGAGCTTGCAGTGAGCCAAGACTGTGCCACTGCACTCCAGCCTGGGCAACAAGAGTCAGACTCTGTCTCAAAAAAAAAAAAAAAAAGAGAATTCAGAACAAAGGCATCACTCGCCCCTTTTGGGGTGTCCTGTTTTCTTTGTGGAGTTTCAAGTCATAGGCAGATTCTTCTTCAGTCTAAAGCTCTGTTTTCCTGTATTGCATGACCTGACGTTTTTGGCTTTGGGGTACCAGAGATGACCTTGTACTGTGAGAGGATTTGACCTTGGCATGTGTAATTGTGGACAACAGCTACAAAGTTAGGGGTGACTGAGCACAGTTTACAGGGAGTAGTCTTGGCTGTTTTTCTTTCTCTCCTAGAAAGTTGTTGTTTAGTGATCCTAATTCTAGTTTGGAGATGCATTCTAAAGGGCCTGCTCTATTGCTTTTTCTCCCAAAATTAATCATGATTTTGCTTGTCTGTGTGTATTTGAGTGAGGAACTGAACTGTTGTTTTCATAGGAGTGCTCAAAAGGGGGTTGTTCTCCTTCTCTCATTCCTAGATTTGGGAGGCACGATCTCAGGCACTGCACTCCAGCCTGGGTGACAGATTAAGACTCTGTCTAAAAAAAAAAAAAATTAATGAATGAATTAATTAATGTGTATACAATGTTTCACTATTGAATTTATTAAGAGCTGTAATTAATTGATTTAAGAAAATAGCCAGGCACAGTGGCTCACGCCTGTAATCCCAGCACTTTGGGAGGCCGAGGTGGGCGGATCATGAGGTCAGGAGTTCGAGACCAGCCTGGTTAACATGGTGAAACCCCATCTCTACTAAAAATACAGAAAATTAGCTTGGCGTGGTGGTGCGCACCTGTAATCCCAGCTACTCAGGAGGCTGAGACAGAAGAATCACTTGAACCCAGGAGGTGAGGTTGCAGTGAGCCAAGATCGTGCCACTACACCCCAGCCTGGGTGACAGAGCTAGACTTCATCTCAAAAAAAGAAAAGAAAAGAAAAGAAAAGAAAAGCGTTTGCATCAAATACTTTATCAGGAAAAAAGAAAAGACTAGTCAAATGCTTTTTCAAGTTTACATAACTTATGTACAATCTTTAATAAGCTAGCAAATTATTGGTAAAGTAATATTAGAAATGTCTTAAGAATTGCCAGCATACATTTTTGTTTGCATTTATTGATCAAGCAATTTCATACTTATCCCTGCCAAATACTATAAGGTGTCAAAATTGGCATAGGGGTTACATAGGTTACCCTAACCCTAACTATAAACCCAACCCTTGTGTAATTGCTTTTGTAATTTTTAATAAATAAGACATTGATATTGGTTTAATGAAAACAGCTACATCTCGAATTTAGTAAGATTACCATAACTTCTAATCTTGTGGCTTTAGGTGTTCTAGTCCACAGGCCATAAGGTTTGTTTTGGGAGAGGATTGTTATCGTCTTTGTTTCAAAGCTAAACTATAAACTAAGTTCCTCCTAAAGTTTGTTCAGCCTATGCCCAGGAATGAACAAAGACAGCTTGGAGGTTAGAAGCAAGATGGAGTCAATTAGGTCAAATCTTTTCACTGTCTCAGTTATAATTTTGCAAATGGTGGTTCTATAACTTTAAATGATGTCTATTGTAGTTTTCATAAATAATCTAGGTAAATGATTAAAATAAAATAATTAGGTAAATGTAATGGTATAAGTAATTATAGACAAACTCATCATAATTTAGAATCTAAAGTTATATTAATTTTTTTTTTTTGAGATGGAGTCTCTCTGTCACCTAGGCTGGAGTGCAGTGGCACGATCTTGGCTCACTGCAACCTCCACCTCCCAGATTCAGGCAATTCTCCTGCCTCAGCCTCCCAAGTAGCTGGGATTACAGGCATGCACCACCACCATCTAATTTTTTGTATTTTTAGTAGAGATGGGGTTTCACCATGTTGGCCAGGCTGGTCTTGAACTCCTGACTTCAGGTGATCTGCCCGCCTTGGCCTCCCAAAGTGCTGGGATTACAGGCACGAGCCATTGTGCCCAGCCTAAAGTTATATTAAATTAAATAATGGATATTTCATTATTTGGGTATTTTCCAATAAAAATATGTTGTAGGAAAACATTCTTTCTAAAAAATGTGTGTCCTTTTTAAAATGGTGAACAATTTTTGTCTAACTGAAAGCGCATTTAAAGGTTATATATAAAACAAGGGAAAAGGAACCAGGAAATAAGAGAGATGTAAAGAAAGCTATAAAAATAAAGAGCTTTTTTTTTTTGTAAGAAAACTTAAAGAGAAATAATGTAATATGAGAAAGAATCTTGTATGGTAAATTTAGTCCTATGTACAATGACTGTTTAAGAAAGAGGGTTGTTCAAGACAAACCAGAAAGTCCAAGCATGTCACGAATGGTCTGTGTAAGTCACAATAAGAGGATTTGTAAAAAAAACCCAAAAATTTTTATATGATCAAGTTGTCTATAATTAAAGGGAAATCACATGGTCTTTCTAGAGATTGGGCTTGATGTAAAAACAATTTATGGCCGGGCGCGGTGGCTCACACCTGTAATCCCAGCACTTTGGGAGGCTGAGGCGGGCGGATCACGAGGTCAGGATATCGAGACCATCTTGGCTAACATGGTGAAACCCCATCTCTACTAAAAAATACAAAAAATTAGCCGGGCGTGGTGGCGGGCGCCTGTAGTCCCAGCTACTCGGGAGGCTGAGGCAGGAGAATGGTGTGAACCCAGGAGGTGGAGCTTGCGGTGAGCTGAGATCGAGCCACTGCACTCCAGCCTGGGCAACAGAGCGAGACTCCATCTCAAAAAAAAAAATTTTATACACTAAATAATTGGATAGAACAATGAAATTTTCTTAAAGGATTAATTGACTCAATAAATTATAAGAGATTTAATTTTTTTAATGCAAAGTTCAACTTTTATTGCATCTTGCTGTTTTTTTTGTTTTCTCTCCCTTTTTAAAGGGTACAAAATAGTAATGCTCTCCTTAAACTCATTTTCAGCTCATTTAAGTTTTTTTCCTTGAGTTCTGTTTGTTGTGGCTTGATACTAACAATGTTTTCTTAAAGGTCTAAAGGAAATGTTTTCTTCCAACATAATATTCTGTGCAGTGCAGAAGGTCTTTTTTTTTTTACCTTTTGGTAACTGGCCTAACAGATTTTATGGTTTATCAAAACAATTCCTATGCCATTATTATTAAGTTTTGGTTTGCTTAGGAAGAAAGAGATTTAAAAAATTTTTTTTAAATTAAGGTTATTACATCTGTGTATCCTTTGTATGTGGTTTTAAAGTCCTTATGGCATTGAGTTACAGGGCTTTGACTCCTGGGTCTGAAAAGGACACCAAGTCCTGCTAAATCTTAAACACTGACAGCAATTCAAGCCTCATCTTCGGGCCTGGTAGAAGGTGCCAATCAAAATAAACTTCATTCCTGAGACACAGAGACTAAAGCTATTCAACTCCTGAAGGCCCAAGGACGATTGTGGAAGAGGTGGACATGTGAGGTTGTAAGGGCTGATTTGAGAGATAAAATAAGTTCAGTTTCTCTATAAATTAATCATTGCTGTCAAAGGCACACTTATGCAAGACCAGAATATGAGCCCCTGTGTCAGATTAACATGGTTTTCTTAAAGCATTAACTGACTCCTTAATAAAGGTTATAAAAGGCTTGTGGAAGTTATATCTTATGGTCAATATTAAAATTTTACAGATTGTTTATAAAATTTTGAAAAACAAATTTAATTGGCTTCATGCTGTTTTTATTAGGGCTTATTGTTTGGAAAATTAAGTCTTCTCTCTCAAAGAATGAAGGCTTTTGCCTTTTTTTTTTAAAATTCTTGAGCTATCACTTTGGTCAAGTGAATTACTTATTTTACAATGCCCTGTGATATCAAGTGTTTTAAACCTTTGATATTCAACAAACTTTCCAAAATCAAATTATAAATTCTGTCTTTTTCTGACCGAATTAATCCTTTAAGATATTAGGTTTCCTAAAGTCAAAAGAATGACATAATTTGGCTTATTTGGTATAAAAATTATATAGAAAGTATGCTTTCCTTTAAGGAATCCAACTCGACTTATGGAGCCAATAAAAGCCCCATGGGAAAACTGACCTTAGACCTTTTCCACAGTCCCTGTATAGCATAAAGAATGTAAAGTCGAGTCCCTGTGGTAATTAGACCTTGTCCCACAGTCCCTGTACAGTGTAAAGTAAAGAATGTAAAGTCGAGTCCCTGTGGTAATTAGACCTCGTCCACAGTCCCTGTACCGTGTAAAGAATGTAAAGTCGAGTCCCTGTGGTAATTAGACCTTCTCCACAGTCCCTGGACAGGGTGAAGTAAAGAAAATGTAAAGTCGAATCCCTGTGGTAAGTAAACAATGTCAGGTTCTGGCTGGGTGTGGTGGTTCACGCCTGTAATCCCAGCACTTTGGGAGGCCAAGGCAGGTGGATCACGAGGTCAGGAGATCAAGACCACCCTAGCTAACACAGTGAAACCCCATCTCTACTAAAAAATACCAAAAAAAAAAAAAAATTAGCTGGGCATGGTGGCAGTGTGCCTGTAGTCCCAGCTACTCGGGAGGCTGAGGCAGGAGAATGGCATGAACCCGGGAGGCAGAGCTTGCAGCGAGCCGAGATCGTGCCACTGCACTCCAGCCTGGGCAATGGAGCAAGACTCAGTTTAAAAAAAAAAAAAAAAAAAAGAATGTCACTTTCTGACCAGCCCGGGGACACCAAGATTATCTTGGAACTTCAAGAGGAGAGGAATTCACCCGACTCATAGGTATTTGATGGTACCAGTCCATGGCTGGGCTCGACTTTTTAAAAAGTCTTATCTGAGATTCCATCTATGGAACAAAGTTCCATCAAAGCCAATTTAAAAGCCTATGTAAAAATATAATTATTCTTGCCACACTGTATACAAAGAATCAGGCCAAGTATAATAGAGCAAATCAATCCCACCATGATTTGTCTTTAGTAAAAATGGGAAACTGGCCAGGCACGGTGGCTCACACCTGTAATCCCAGCACTTTGGGAGGCTGAGGTGGGCAGATCACGAGGTCAGGAGATCGAGACCACAGTGAAACCCCGTCTCTACTAAAAATACAAAAAAATTAGCTGGGCGCGGTGGCGGGCGCCTGTAGTCCCAGCTATTCGGGAGGCTGAGGCAGGAGAATGGTGTGAACTCGGGAGGTGGAGCTTGCAGTGAGCCGAGATGGCGCCACTGCACTCCAGCCTGGGTGACAGAGCGAGACTCTGTCTCAAAAAAAAAAAAGGAAACTGGAGAGAGAAAAAATTATGTTTCAAAACCTATAGTACACCTGTTGTTAGATTCTAGTCTTGCCTAATGTTTTTCAATTTTTATTATTTTCTACAGTTTGGACAGAATTCTAATTTTTCTTGCCTACAAGTCTTCAAAATAATGTTTTCAATTTTTTTCTTCTTTTTTCCCCCTTCTTCTTTCTCTTTTTTTTTTTTTTTTTTTAGATAGAGTCTCACTCTGTCACCAGGCTGGAGTGCAGTGGCACGATCTTGGCTCACTGCAACCTCGCTTCCCAAGTTCAAGCGATTCCCCTGCCTCAGCCTCCCAAGTAGCTGGGACTACAGGCGCCTGCCACATGCCTGGCTGATTTTTGTTGTATTTTTAGTAGAGACGGGGTTTCACCATGTTGGCCAGGATGGTATCAATCTCTTGACCTTGTGATCCACTCACCTTGGCCTCCCAAAGTGCTGAGATTACAGGCGTGAGCCACTGAGCCTGGCCTCCCCCATTTTTCTTAATTTGAAGTCACTGAAAACTAAGCTATGCTTTCTTAAAGCACTGCGAACCGAAGCTAGACAGCTTAAACTTCAGAAGAAAATAACACCAACCTATTTACATACATAAGCCACTTTCATACCTGCCTACTGATGTATGGACTTCAGAGTAATGTGGCCTATATTGATCTTCCAGGATTGTTCTTTTGTTTGTTATTGTTTTTCTCCCTTCCTTCCCCTATTTTCTCTTCATAGGACATGAGAGACTTCACAACCTGTTAAAAATGAGCTTTTGTAATAACTCGAGACCTACCTATCTAGGAATAAGCCATCCTAACCCTCACCTGCGGCCAGAGACTCATTTTCTTATGAAACACTTTCTCTGGAAGATTTTAAAAAAGAAAAAGAGGAAATGTGAAAGGAAAATAAATCCTGGGGCCCCAGAATCACTAAACTAAAGGGAAGAGTCAAGCTGGGAACTGCTTAGGGCAAACCTGCCTCCCATTGCATCCAAAGTCACCCCTCTGCTCAGTGAGATCAATGCATATCTGACTGCCTCCTTTGGAGAGGCTAGTTAGAAACTCAAAAGAATGCAACCATTTGTCTCTTCTCTACCTATAACCTGGAAGCCCCCTCCCCGCTTCCAGTTGTCCTGCCCTTGCTTTGAGTTGTCCCACCTTTCTGGACCCAACCAATGTTCATCTTACATATGTTGACTGATGTCTCATGTCCGCCTAAAATGTATACAATGAAACTGTGCTCTGAACACCTTGGGCACATGTCATCAGGACCTCCTGAGGCCATGTCACAAGCACGTGTCAACCTTGGCAAAATAAACTTTCTAAATTAACTGAGACCTGTCTCAGATATTCAGGGTTCACAAGCTGCTGCTCCTCAGCTCCTGGATGGCCTGAGTTAGGCAAGTTCCCACGGATGCTTTCTCACCTGCAAGTGTATTACAATAGTACTGTTATTGGAAAGGGGTCCCGATCCAGACCCCAAGAGAGGGTTCTTGGATTTCGCGCAAGAAAGAATTTGAGGCAAATCCATAGCGTAAAGCAAAAGCGAGTTTATGAAGAAAGTAAAGGAGTAAAGGAAGGGCTACTCCATAGACAGCAGCCCTGAGGGCTGCCAGCTGCCCATTTTTATGGTTATTTCTTGATGATATGCTAAACGAGGGGTGGATTGTTCATGCCTCCCTTTTTAGACCATACAGCCTAACTTCCGGACATTGCTATGGCATCTGTAAACTGTCGTGGAGCTGGTGGGAGTGCAGCCGTGAGGATGGCCAGAGGCCACTCTCATTGCCATCTTGGTTTTGGTGGATTTTGGCCGGCTTCTTTGGGGCAAGCTGTTTTATCAGCAAGGTCTTTCTGACCTGTATTCTTGTGTCATCTCCTGTCTCATCTTTTGACTTAGAATGCCTTGTCATCTGGGAATGCAGCCCAGTAGGTCTCAGCCTTGTTTTACCCAGCCCCTATTCACGATGGGGTTGCTGTGGTTCTAATGCCTCTGACAGTACCCACCTCACTGTGTTGGTGGGAGGTGTAACGGCATCAACATGAGCAAGATGCTCAGCGAGGGTTGCATGTGGCACACTGGTATTATGATTACTGTCATTCTGCAGCGATGGGTGGTACTGGGTCAGGCCACGAGAACCTCCAGACACGGAGGGTCTGCCAGAGAAGGGGGCATTTAGCTGAGACCTGAGGCCTGATAGGGATTATTTGGGTGAGGAGGCTATAAGCCTGCTGAAGACAACTTTTCAGGTGAGTTACGACCAAGGGTCAGGCTTTGTTACAGACTCACGTGCAAGGTGAAGGCCCTGAGAGACCCCTTCGAAGATTCACTCAGGGAAGGAACAAGAACTACCATTGGCCTCGACACAGAAACACCCTGTGGTTACAGGTCACTTGACCTGTGAGTGACAGTTATCCGCTGGGTGGGTGCCCAAAAGCAAGCCCAACAGTTCACAAAATTACCATTTTATCAGGAATGTTAATTTCTCTCTCTCTCTCTCTTTCTAAATTTTATTTTTGCTGGACACAGTGGCTCACGCATGGAATCCCAGTACTTTGGGAGGCTGAGATGGGCGGATCACTTGAGGTTGGGAGTTCAAGATCAGCCTGACCAACATGGAGAAACCCTGTCTCTACGAAAAATACAAAATTAGCAGGATGTGGTGGCGCATGCCTGTAATCCCAGCTACTCGGGAGGCTGCGGGAGGCAAGTCAAGTGAAACTCTGTCTCAAAAAACATATATATATTTTATTTTTTTGAGAAAGAGTCTCACTCTGTAACTCAGGCTGGAGTGCAGTGGTGTGATCACAGCTTGCTGCAACCTCCACCTCCTGGGTTCAAGCGATTCTCCTGCCTCAGCTGCCCGAGTAGCAGGGACTACAGGCATGTGCCACCACGTCCAGCTAATTTTTACATTTTTAGTAGAGACGGGGTCTCACCATGTTGGCCAGGCTGGTCTCAAACTCCTGTCCTCAAGTGATCCACCTGCTGTGGCCTCCCAAAGTGCTGGAATTACAGGTGTGAGCCACTGCACCCAGCTTTCCTTTTTTTTGAGACAGGGTCTTGCTGTGTTGCCCAGGCTGGAGTGCAATGGCACAGTCTCAGCTCACTGCAGCCTCGACTTCATGGGCTCAGGAGATCCTCCAACGTCAGCCTCCCAGATAGCTGGGACTGCACAGGTGTGGGCCACCAAGCTCGGTTAATTTTTTGTATTTTTCGTAGAGATGGGCTTTCACCATGTTGGCCAGGGTGATCTTGAACTCCTGGACTCAAGCCATCTGCCTGCCTCGGCCTCCCAAGGTGCTGGACTACAGGCTTGAGCCACCTTGCCCAGCCCAGAAATGTCAGTTTCTTCTCAGAAGGAAGTTCTGCACTGATCATGTTCTTTTCCAGTGGTTTCTTTTCTTTCTTTCTTTTTTTTCTTTTTTCTTTTTTTTGAGATGGAGTCTCACTCTGTTGCCCAGGCAGGAGTGCAGTGGTGCGATCTCAGCTCAGCACAACCTCCGCCTCCTGGGTTCAAGTGATTCTCCTGCCTCAGCCTCCCGAGTAGCTGGGATTACAGACATGTGCCACCACGCCCGGCTAATTTTTGTATTTTTAGTGGAGATGGGGTTTCGCCACGTTGGTCAGGCTGGTCTCGAACTCCTGACCTCTTGATCTGCCCACCTCAGCCTCTCAAAGTGCTGGGATTACAGGCGTGAGCCACCGTACCCGGCTTCTCCGGTGCTTTCAAGGAACTAGGCGGAGCTTGGAAGGAAGCTCTTCTAAAGCAGATCTACGCCCTGAAGTGGCTGCAGAGAGCCGCCTCCAGAACTGGTGTCTGTGGCAGCCAAGACCTCCCCAGTGCAAAGCCCATGGAAGATCTGGCCGTGATGAGAGGAGAGGCAGCCATCGTTGCACAGGTCCAAGAGCTCAAGGAATGCAAGGTTGTGGGGTGAACGCATGAGTAGGTCAAAGTCCAGTCTTTCAGGGCAGGGCAAGGGTAACTTTAACCCAGGAAGAGGCAACAGACACCAAACTAATTGCACCATTTTGTAAATCTCATTCAGCCAAGTCCAGAGGAATGGATATTGGAGGAAAATGATCCTAAATCCGGTGGAACGGAGGCAATCACCACGGGTCCTGGATTGGAGGGGCTGGTGGGTTGTCTGGGAGGGGACTGCTTGTGCTCTGGTTCTTAAAACCAACGCCATGCAGCCCAGGGGAAGGAAGGTAACATACTAGAAAATCCTCGGTTTATTGGGGAAAAGGCATCCAAAGCCTGAAGGAGACAAGAATGGATCGTGCTTCACCTGCTCTGCTGTCCCCTAACTGTCCTGTGAGATGGCCTGTGGGACAACCCTCAACAAGACCTTAAGAGGCATACTGTGAAGTGGGGAGGGGAGTGACAACACCCTTAGCAAACTCTCAGAAGGCTGCTGGGGACGAAGGGGACAATGCTGCCAGGAAACCAAGTGAGGAGATTCTGGGGCGGCTGAGGCCACATGGCCGGCCGGGCAGGCGAGGTCACCGTGCTGGGCAAGCAGAGTGGTGTGGCCTCACAGACGTTGGACTCATTTGCCAAGGAGTTGCCCTCCAGGACAAAAGCAGAGGGCAGAACGGGGTGAAGGGGCAGCAGTGGTGGAAAAATCCTGAGTCAGGCCTGGGCTTGGTTGCAGGGCAGGGGGGTGGAAGTTCCTCTTGCAATTCCTGGATGTGAGTCATTCCCAGACCCTCTGCTAGAGGGACACATCTGACGGAAACACCCAAGGCTGTGGATGGCTTCCCCCAGGCTCCCCTGAAGGGAGGCAAAGCCCTTGGCAGGATGGCTGTGCCCTGGAGGAAGGGACGCCCAGGCTCTCAGGGATTGCTGGGCACTGGGTCTGAGCTGATGCCACTTCCCAGACGCTATGATGTCTCCACAGTCCCTTGGTCAGAGGAGGGCTTTGGAAGTCAAGTGAGACATGCTTTTGGGCCACAGTCCATCGCACAATGGACACCGTGGGGGGGTGTGAATCCATCTTGTGTTAATTTCCCCAGTTGTCTTTTTTCTTTCCTGAGACAGAGTCTCGCTCTGTCACCCAGACGGGAATGCAGTGACACAGACACGACTCACTGCAGCCTCGACCTTGACCTCAAGCGATCCTCCCACCTCAGTCTCCTGAGTAGCTGGGACTACAGGCACGAACCACACCCAGCTAATTTTTAAATTTTTTATAGAGCCCGTGTCGCTCAGGCTCGTCTCATACTCCTGAGCTCAAGCACTCTGCCGACCTTAGCCTCCCAAAGTGCTGGGATTACAGGTGTGAGCCACTGTGCCCGGCCACCTCCCCAGTTCTCAAATATATTATTTGAGTAGAAGTTCTGAGCAGCTGGCCAGCATGCACATGCTCTGCCGACTCGGAGAAGGGCTCTCAAGGTGGGAAGCCCAAGGCGGGCTCCTGGAGCTCCCCTCCTTTATCAGCTGAGGAAACACCAACTACTCTGCCACGTAAAACTCAAAATCTCAGTGGCTTAATATAAAGATGTTTCTTTCTTTTTTTGAGATAGGGTCACACTCTTATCACCTAGGCTGGAGTGCAGTGGCAAAATCACAGTTCACTGCACCCTCTACCTCCCGGGCTCAAGCATTCCTCCCACTTCAGCCTCCCGAGTAGCTGGGACTACAGGCACTCACCACTATGCCTGGCTAATTTTTGTATTTCTGGTAGAGATGGGAGTCTCTTTGTTGTCCGAGCTGGTCTTGAACTCCTGGCCTCAAGCAATCCTCCTCGGCCTTCCAAAGTTCTGGGATCACAGGCTTGAACCGCCATGCCTGAGCCGAACCACTGCTATTTTTGATGTGGATTTAAGGGCCTCGTGGAAGTCCATAGCCAGCCAGCAGGAGGGTGAAGAGAACGTGTGCAGGTTGGGGCAGGGTGTTTTTATGCACCAGGCTTAGGAGTGGTACACATCATTTCTACCCAAATCAATTCCAGAACTCAGTGACATGACCTAGTTGTGAAGGGGACTGGGAAATAGATGCCTTGGCTGAGAAGTGTGTTCTATCTTGAGCCAGTAGTTAGGACATCAGCTTTCCAACTCCTCAGTTTGTCAACTATGGCAGAGCCACCTCCAGGGGCACCCACCGTACGGTGTTATTTCTGGGAGGTGTATTTCTAGAAGCTTGTGCTAGACACTTCCCAATGATTCTGTAGGCACCACCTCCCTGTATTAAATCCCTTTTCCACTCAAAGTGGCCACACATGGGTCTGTAATCTGTACCTGAACTGTGGCTGTTACAGTCAGTGAGACATTGAGGAACTGCAAGCCATGGTGTGAGGGGTCACTTGGAGGGGTGTGGATGATGTCAGCACTCGGAGTGAGCAGGCAACCCATGACCCAGATGCCAGAACCCTCAGTGAATGACAGGATGTGCGTGGCCAAGACTGCTGTATCCCCAGTGCCTCAACTTCGGGGTGTGTGCGTGTGAGATAAATGTTCCTTCTGTTCATTTGTGCTTTCATTGATTATCTATCCAGCATGCAATCATTTAGCATTTATGTGTGCTCAGTGCTGTGGCTGAATAAGAAAAGCAGATTTCCAACAATATAATCTAAAACCCATCTATTGCGATAGATGCTGATTAAAATATAACAGGCATTCTTTTGTTTCTTTTTTTTTTTGAGATGGAGTCTCGCATGTCGCCCGAGCTGGAGTGCGGTGGCATGATCTCGGCTCGTTACAACCTCCGCCTCCTGGGTTCAAGCGATTCTCCTGCCTCAGCTTCCCGAGTAGCTGGAATCACAGGTGCCTGCCACCATGTCCGGCTATTTTTTTTTTTTTTTTGGTATTTTTAGTAGAGATGGGGTTTCACTGTGTTGGCCAGGCTGGTCTTGAACTCCTGACCTTGTGATCTGCCTGCCTGAGCCTCCCAAAGTGCTGGGATTACAGGCGTGAGCCACTGCACCTGGTCATAAGCATTCTCTCTCTTATTTTTTTGAGATGGAGTTTCGCACTTGTTGCCCAGGCTGGAATGCAATGGCGTGATCTTGGCTCACTGCAACCTCTGCCTCCCTGGTTCAAGCAATTCTCCTGCCTCAGCCTCCCGAGTGGCTGGGATTACAGGCACCCGCCACCACGCCCGGCTAATTTTTTGTATTTTTAGTAGAGACAGGTTTTCACCATGTTGACCAGGCTAGTCTCGAACTCCTGACCTCATGATCCGCCCAACTCGGCCTCCCAAAGTGCTGGGATTACAGGCGTGAGCCACTGCGCCCAGCCCAGCATTCTTTTATATACATAGCTGAGCTTGAAAATAAAACAAAGCCTATCCCAAGAGACACAAAATGGAGAGGAAAGTGAAACCAACAGGGTAAATAAGTATGAAATCTGGGGCTTCTCAATACTAGGAACTTAAAGCCTCAGGTTTTAAGGCTGCGTAGGAGGCAAAAGACAGAGACTTGGGCCCATGCAATATAAGAAGATGCTCAGATAAAATCAGGACTTTTGAAGACCCACAGTCTCAGTAAGAGGCTAGAAAAACTAGGAAAGAAATCTGCTTTCCAGGAAGGAGAAATTAATTAATTTTTTTTTTTTTTTTTGAGATGGAGTTTCTCTCTTGTCGCCCAGACTGGAGTGCGATGGCGTGATCTGGGCTCACTGCAACCTCCGCCTCCCAGGTTCAAGCAATTCTCCTGCCTCAGCCTCCCAAGTAGCTGGGATTACAGGCATGTGCCACCACACCCAGCTATTTTTTTCTATTTTTAGTAGAGACGGGGTTTCTCCATGCTGGTTGGGCTGGTTTCAAAGTCCCGACCTCAGGTGATCCACCCGCCTCAGCCTCCCAAAGTGCTGGGATTACAGGCGTGAGCCACCGCGCCCAGCTGAATTTTTTTTTTTTTTTTTTTTTTTAAGACGGAGTCTCCCGCTATTGCCCAGGCTGGAGTGCAGTGGTAGGATCTTGGCTTACTGCAACCTCTGCCTCCCAGGTTCAAGTGATTCTTGTGCTGCAGCCTCCTGAGTAGCTGGGACTAAGGCGTGCACCACCCTGCCTGGCTAATTTTTGTTATTTTTAGTAGAGATAGGGTTTCACCATGTTGGTCAGGCTAGTCTTGAACTCTTGGCCTCAAGCGATCTGGCTGCCTTAGCCTCCCAAAGTGCTGGGATTACAGGCGTAAGCCACCACACCCAGCTGAGAAATGAAATATTTTGTAACGACCTCACCACTAGATAGAAATCAGTGACAATTTACAGCCAGGCACAGTGGCTCACGCCTGTAATCCCAGCACTGTGGGAAGCCAAGGTGGGCGGATCATGAGATAGTTAGGAGATGGAGACCATCCTGGCTAACACGGTGAAACCCCATCTCTACTAAAAATACAAAAAATTAGCCAGGTGTGGTGGCGGGTGCCTGTAGTCCTAGCTACTTGGGAGGCTGAGGCAGGAGAATGGTGTGAACCTGGGAGGCGGCGGTTGCAGTGAGCCGAGATGGCGCCACTGCACTCCAGCCTGGGGGACAAAGCGAGACTCCGTCTCAAAAAAAAAAAAAAAAAAAAAGAAAAGAAATCAGTGACAATTTATAGGTATAAACTTGCCTCCAAATGGGCATGGGGTTTAAATACAAAATATCTTGGTGGTTTGGAATTGAGTTGAAGTGGTTGCAGGTTGGCTGCACTAAAGCACTTGGCAGGAGCAAATGTAAATCACCTCTGAGGGAGAGCACTTTCAACTTAACTCCTCCAGGTTCCCACAGACTAAGATTGGTCAAACATGACATCACATCTAAAAATCACAAAACATGTAAGTATGCTCAAAATGGTCACAGAGATAAAAGATGCAACTGAAAACATGAATAAGGAATGAGGAAACTATCAGAAAGAATAGGAACCAAAGAACATGGTAGATTTGAAAAGGAACAATATATGCCTTTTAAAATGAGAAAAATAATTGAAGTTTATTTTTTTCTCTTCCTTTTCTGGAAATATTTTTTTCATCAATCTCATTCTTAAATGAATGAGAACTATAATTCTGAGTTAATGGTTATTCTTAACTCTCTTTCTTGACCTTCACTGTTGTTGTCAGTCTAATTATTCCTTTGGGAGATATTTATCTTTTCTTTTGACTGTTTTTTTTAAATTAACAAATGAAAATTATATATATTTACCATGTGCAACATATTGAGCTAATCAATATATGCATTACCCCACATCATTTTTTATGGTGAGAACACTTAAAATATACTTTCTTAACAGTTTTCAAGTACACTATACATTGTTATTAACTATAGCCAACATGTTGTACAGTAGAGCTCTTGAACTTATTCCTTCTTTTTTTTTGTTTTGTTTTGTTTTTTTGAGATGGAGTCTCGCTCTGTTGCCCAGGCTGGAGTGCAGTGGCGCAATCTCGGCTCGCTGCAATCTCTGCCTCCCAGGTTCACGCCATTCTCCCGCCTCAGCCTCCCAAGTAGCTGGGGCTACAGGCGCCCGCCACTACGCCCAGCTAATTTCTTGTGTTTTTAATAGAGACGGGGTTTCACCATGTTAGCCAGGATGGTCTTGATCTCCTGACTGTGATCTGCCCGCCTTGGCCTCCCAAAGTGCTGTGATTACAGGCGTGAGCCACCATGCCAGGCGGAACTTATTCTTTCTAATTAAAATTTTGAATTCCCTGACCAACATCTCCCCCACAACCTCCTTGCTCCTGATAACCACCATTCCACCCCATTTCTGAGTTCTTTTTATGTTCCACACATATGTGAGATTATGCTGCGTTTGTCTTTCTGTGCCTGGCTTATTTCACTTAACATAATCTCCTCCAAGTTCATCCATGTTGTCAAAAATAGGAGACTAACCCGAGTGGATTGCTTGAATTCAGGAGTTTGAAACCAGCCTGGGCAACATGGTGAGACCTTGTCTCTAAAATAAAAAAAAAACTTGGATTACATTATTAAATAGATTTTTAATCCCAGCTACTCAGGAGGCTGAGGCAGGAGAATTGCTTGAACCCGGGAGGTGGAGGTTGCAGTGAGCCGAGATCGCGCCACTGCACTCCAGCCTGGGTGACAGTGTGAAACTCTGCCTCAAAAAAAAAAAAAAAAGCTACTAGAACTAAGCAATTTAACAAGGTCACAGACTACAAAGTTTATATGCAAAAGATAGTTGTGTGATAGGTTGAGGTGGGTGGATCCCTTGAGCTCAGGAGTTCGAGACCAGCCTGGGCAACATGGCGAAAACCTGTGTATTTTGTGTTTCTCTACTAAAAATACAAACATTAGCTGGGCATGGTGGTGTGTGCCTGTAGTCCTAGCTACTCAGGAGACTGAGGTGGGAGGATAGCTTGAGCCTGGGAAGTTAAGGCTGCAGTGAGCCAAGATCATGCCACTGCACTCCATCCTGGGAAACAGAGTGAGACCCTGTCTCAAAAAAAAAAAAAAAAAAAAAAAAAAGAGGTGATTTTCTATACTATCAACAATTAGAAAATGAGGCTGGGCACGGTGGCTCATGCCTGTAATCCCAGCATTTTGGGAGGCCGAGGCAGGTGGATCACCTGTCAAGAGTTCACGACCAGCCTGGCCAACATGGTGAAACCCTGTCTCTACTAAAAATACAAAAAATTAACCGGTGTGGTGGCGGATGCCTGTAATCCCAGCTACTCGAGAGGCTGAGGCAGAAGAATCACTTGAACCCGGGGGGCAGAGGTTGCAGTGAGCCAAGATCATGCCATTGTACTCTAGCCTGGGCAACAAGAGTGAAACTCCATCTCAAAAAAAAAAATTAGAAAATGAAATTAAAATTATATTAAAATTTTTATTTGTAATACATGAAATAACACAAAATTTTTAGGAATGGATTTAGCAAAAATGTGTAAGAATGCTACACTGAAAGCTACTAAACATTGCTGAGATAAATTAAAGAGGACCAAAATATGTGGGAGGCTGAGGCAGGAGGATTGCTTGAAGCCAGGAGTTTGAGACCAGCCTTGGCAATAAAGCAAGACCCTGCCCCTACAAAATAAATAAACAAATAAATACATGAGGAAATATACTATGTTCATATAATAGAAAACTCAATATTATTAAGATGTCTATTCTCTCAATATATTTACAAATTCAGTGCAATACCAGTCAAATTCCCAGCAGGCTTTCTTGGGGAGTTAGAAATTGACAAGTTGATCCTAAAATTTATATAGAAATAAAAATGACCTAGAATAACCAACAAATTAAAAAAGAACAAAGTTACAGGACTTATCTGCTTTCAAGACTTACTATAAAGTTACAGAAATTAAACAGTATGGAATTGAAGAAAGTTATAAATATAGATCAAAGGAAAAGAATAGAGACAGAGTCCAGAAATAGACCCACACATATGTGGACAACTGATTTTCAACAAAAGTGCAAAGGCAATTCAGTGGAAAAGGAAGTCTTTTTAAAAATGGTGCTGAGAGGTCCCTAGAATAGTCAAATACATGGAGACAGAAAGCAGAACTGTGGTTCTAAGAGCTGGGTGGAAAGGAGACTGGAGGACTTATTGTTCAGTGAGTATAGTTTAATACGGGGTGATGAAAATGTCCTGGAGATGGTGGCGAATTCACTTAATGCCACAAAATTGTATACTTAAAAATTGTTAAAATGGTAAATTTTGTTATGTATATTTTACCACAATAAAAACTAAATTTAAAAATCTTAAAAATGGTTCTGAAACAACTGGACATGCTCCCCCCAAAAAAATATGAACAGCTACCTTTTCTTGATACCAAAAACAAAAATTAACTTGAAATTAATGACAGGCCTAAATGTAAATGCTAAAACTACACAGCCTGGGCAACATGGTGAGACCCCCATCTCTTTTTTTTTGAGACGAATTCTCGCTCTGTAGCCCAGGCTGGAGCGCAGTGGCGTGATCTCGGCTCACTGCAACCTCTGCCTCCTGGGTTCAAGTAATCCTCCTGCTGTAACGCAGGCGTGCGCCAACGTGCCCACCTAATTTTTGTATTTTTAGTGGAGACGGGATTTTGCCATGTTAGCCAGGCTGGTCTCCAACTCCTGACCGCAGGTGATCCATGCGCCTTGGCCTCCCAGGAATTACAGGTATGAGCCACCACGCCTGGCCCCCCATCTCTTAAAAAAAAGAAATAAAATAAAACTATAAAACACAGGAAAATATTTTTGTGATCTTGTGGTAGGCAAAGATTTTTTAGAGTGAACCCAAAGAATATGAGAACGATTAAACAAAAAAGATAAATTGAATTCTATAATAATGCAAGACTTTTGTTCTTTGAAAGAGGCTATTACAAAAATGAAACGGCAAGCCAAGAAATTAGAGAACTTTTGCAATACATATATCTTATAAAAACTTGTATCCAGGGCCAGGCGCGGTGGCTCACGCCTGTAATCCCAGCACTTTGGGAGGCCGAGGCGGGCGGATCACGAGGTCAGGAGATCACGACCATCCTGGCTAACACGGCGAAACCCCATCTCTACTAAAAATACAAAAAAATTATCTGGGTGTGGTGGTGGGCCACTGTAGTCCCAACTACTCGGGAGGCTGAGGCAGGAGAATGGCGGGAACTCGTGAGGTGGAGCTTGCAGTGACCTGAGGTCGCGCCACTGCACTCCAGCCCGGGCGACAGGGGGAGACTCCGTCTCAAAACAACAACAACAACAAAAAACTTGTATCCAGATTATATAAGGAGCTCCTAAATTTTAATAACTCAAACCACTCAGTTTTTAAAAATGGCAATAGACTAGAACAGACACTTCACGAAAGAAGCTATGTGAATGGCCAATAAGCCATTCCCCAGCAGCCCGGACGTCCTTCTTGTGGTATGGCCGACTCTCTGGCTTTTGTTGGCTTCTTCATCTCTGATCCCATCTGCGTCATTCCAGTCATAACCCATTTGATGGTTCTAACATGAGGATGGATTTATTATTTAAAAATATACATAGTTCTAGGGCCAGGTGTGGTGACTCATGCCTGTAATCCCAGCAATTTGGGAGGCCGAGGTGGGTGGATCACTTGAGGCCAGGAGTTCGAGACCAGCCTGGCCAATATGGTGAAACCCCATCTCTACTAAAACTACAAAAATTAGCCAGGCATGGTGGTGCATACCTATAGTCCCAGCTACTAGGGAGGCTGAAGTATGATAATTGCTTGAACCTGGGAGGCAGAGGTGGCAGTGAGCCGAGATTGTGCCATTGCACTCCAGCCTGGGCGACAGAATGAAACTCTGTATCAAAAAAAAAAAAAATATATATATATATATATAAAATTTTTAAATCTTTAATTTTATAAGACTAGTCAAGCGCAGCACTGATAAGGGGAAATCAGTAGAACAGGGAATTCATTCTTTTTGTCTCTCCTGTGCTGTACCCTTAAACACGGTTATGATGGTGAACTGCATGTTATGTGCTTTTCACTACAATAAAAATAGGTACATAGATCTTAAATTGTCAGTGGCCTTTGAGAGAGTGGAGAGGTAAACACAGGCAAAACACATCGTCTTGAATGAAAAGATACTCGGAACCCTAAATGTGAAATTAACTAGACAAATATTTCTCACTTTTAATTTCACGTTTTTTTTTCCTTTGAGACAGGGTCTCGCTCTGTCTCCCAGGCTGGAGTGCAGTGGTGTGATCTCGGCTCACTGCAGCCTTGACCACCCAGGCTCAGGCGATCCTCCTGCCTCAGCCTCCCAAGTAGCCGGGACCACAGGCACGCGCCACCACGTCTGGCAAATGTCCGTAATTTTGTAGAGACGGGGCCTCACTTTGTTGCTCAGGTTGTTCTTAAACTTCTGAGCTCAAGTGATCTGCTCACCTTGGCTTCCCAAAGTGCTGGGATTACAGGTGTGAACCACCTTGGCCGGCTAATTCCACATTTCAATGTTAAAACAGTATTTTAAATTTAACACTCTTTCTAAGAATATACAACAAAGATCAGCCATCCCTTTACGCTGCTGTTTTGCTGCTAGATATGGAGAACACACTCATCAGAATACACTCCAAAATCTGAACTAGCTTTGATGATGATAAAATTTAGAGTGTTTACCAGGTACTAGGCATGTGCTAAGCATTTTACACACACGTACCTCATCTAGTCCACACAATGGCCCAGGAGGCTGAGAACTGACCTGTGAGCCTCTGAAGGCAGACACCTTGCATCTCAACCAGGCCTGCCATCTGGCCAGAATGAATGAGGAAATGAAACAGTTTGTACTATAGTCCCCAGCTTAGCTGAGCACACACGGAGACATAGGAAGGCTAGGAAGCTTTCCTAGGCCACCTGGGTATTTGGTGGCTGAGCTGGGCATTTGCTCCAAGTCCAGCTCTTGAACTTCTCTGGGAAATGTATTGTTCCTTGAAACCAAACTGCAGAAGTGCTATCAGATTTCAGGGACTAAAATTAGAAACTCAAACCCCTTCAGAACCTTCCCTGTCTCCCAATCTCTATTTCTTCCAGTGTGACTTTCTTCTCGAGCCTGCTTAGCTTTGGATGTAAGGTGCGTTCAGGATGGTAGGCCCCAGATGCCGGCCGTAGTGTGGTAGTGTGGCTTTCTTCTCAAGGCTACCACTCGGTCACCAGCAGCTCCTGAGTTCACAGTTCTCCTATAGATCCCAAGAGTGGAACCAGTCTCCTCATTTTTTTTTTTTTTTTTTTTGAGACGGAGTCTCGCTCTGTTGCCCAGGCTGGAGTGCAGTGGCGCGATCTCGGCTCACTGCAACCCCTGCCTCCCAGGTTCACGCCATTCTCCTGCCTCAGCCTCCCAAGCAGCTGGGACTACAGGCATCCACCACCACGCCCAGCTACGTTTTTGTATTTTCAGTAGAGACGGGGATTCACCGTGTTAACCAGGATGGTCTCGATCTCCTGACCTCGTGATCCACCGGCCTCGGCCTCCCAGAGTGCTGGGATTACAGGCGTGGGCCACCGTGCCTGGCCATTCTCCTCATTTTAAGACACGTACTATCTCAGAACAGGATTCACACTGGCCCCGCTTGGGTAACATGACTACCAGCTTCTCTACTGACTGGCCATAGTGACCCCGGACAAGTTAAGTTACCGCTTGTTAAATGAGGACAGTAACAGTGGTTCCCTGAGTGACTTTGTGATGATCGAATGAGCTAATATGTGTAATACACTTAGAATGGCATGTATGTGCTCATAAACCTTAGGGAACAATCCATTTTCATAATTCTCACTGCACATTTCTTTTTCATTTAAACATTTTTCATAAATCTTTGTGGTGGTTCCAAGCAAAAAAAGTTTTTCTGTGAAACTGTCACTATTGCCAGCTTTGGAGTTTGAATTATATGACCCTTTGTGGTCCTGGCCACAAAGCCAAGGCATTGACATAAAAGAAGTGCTGGGCTAGTGGTACAAGGGACATATCCAGGTTATTCAGGTTCTTACATAGATCCAGGCTCAACATGAGCTCATAACTCCTGGTCATAAAATTCTCACAGAAACAATCCACCAAGTGTAAGAATCAGTCCACGCCACGAAAAGCAGAATCAGACCATCAAAAAGTTCACATAATGAAACTATTGACTAGAAACTTAAAAATAAATATTTCTGAAATGATTAAAAACAAAGAAGAGGCTTGGCGCAGTGGCTCATGCCTGTAATCCCAGCACTTTGGGAGGCTGAGGCAGGTGGATTGCTTGAGTGTCAGGAGTTCGAGACCAGCCTGGGCAACATGGGGAAACCCTGTCTTTACAAAAAATTTTAAAAATTAGCTGGGCGTGGTGTTGCACGCCTGTAATCCCAGGTACTTGGGAGGCTGAGGCAGGAGAATCGCTTAAACCCAGGAGGCAAAGATTGTAGTGAGCCAAGACTGCAACATTGCAACATTGCACCCTAGCCTGGGTGACAGAGCGAGACCCTGTCTCAATAATAAATAAATAAATAAAGTCTAAAGGATGTACTTAGGAAAAAGAAAATTGAACCTAGAAGGAAAGAATGAGAGGCAAGAAGGCCGGGCACGGTGGCTCACACCTGCAATACCAGCACTTTGGGAGGCTGAGGCGGGTGGATCACCTGGGGTCAGGAGTTCAAATCCAGACTGGCCAACGTGGTGAAACCCCATCTCTACTAAAAATACAAAAATTAGCAGGGTGTGGTGGCGAGTGCCTGTAATCTCAGTTACTTGGGAGGCTGAGGCAGGAGAATTCCTTGAACCTGGGAGGCAGAGGTTGCAGTGAGCTGAGACCCAGCCAGTGCACTTCAGCCTGGGCAACAAGAGTGGAACTGGGACTCAGAAACAAAACAAAACAAAACAAAACAAAACTGGTTAACATGTAACTAAGTCTAAACAAGCATTTATTTTCCGACAGGGTTAGTAATAACAGAGATGACTAATTTGGAGATAACAACATGGACAAAAACCTATATAGGATGAGAGGAGCGATTGGAGGTTAAGTATTCTAAATTCTTTTTATTACACAGAAGGAAGATAGAGATACTAATTAACTTTAGACTTTGTTAATTACGCATGTGCAAAGTTTAAGTGTATTTATAAAAATGACAGAAAGAGAATGCATAACTTCCAAACCAATGGGAGCTGGAGGAAAGGAGAATAAAGAAAACTTGATCAATCCAATAGAGGCAGAAAGAGAAAAAAGAAGCAGAGGAAAAAAGTACAAATGGCGTGAAATAAGATGGTAAAAATCAGTTAAAGTATATCATTAATCACAATATACATACTTTTAAAAATTAAAAATTGTCAGACTGGGTTTAAAAAAATCTAGCTGTACATACTATTTAGGAAGCACACTGAATATAAAGACAGAAAGGATAAAAGGAAAATGATGGAAAGAGATATGAGGCCATGAAGAAGTGTGTTGTAGCTATATTAACTGTCGGAAAAAATAAAATTAAGACAAAAAGCTCAATTAGAGATAAAGAGCGGCCTCACATAATGATAAAAAGATGAATTTATCAGGAAGCTGTAATAATTTTAAACTTGTTAGCATTTAATGACAAAGCCATAAAGTATATGAAACCAAAATTGGCAAAATTTCAAGAAGAGACTGACAAAGCCACTGTCACAGCAGAGATTTGAACACATCTGTCTCAGTAATTTATAAATCAAACAGACAAAATATTAGAAAGTACACAGAACATGTGAATAAAACAAGCTTGATCTAATGGAGTTATATGTGAATATAATGAATACATATGAATTAATATGTACCATAGATATGAATTATTGATTCATATATATGAATCAATACATATGATATAGATGATATCAATATATATGATAAGAATAGAAATACCTGTATCCAACAATTCCTACTGAATAAATAGGAAACTTTTACAAAAATGGACCATGTAGGATACAAAGAAAGGGTCTTTGTAGACCCTCAAAATATCAGTATTATCCAGATCCTTCTCTGACCATATATAATAAAATATCAATAACCAAGGGTTAGTCTTCTCCCAACAAAAAACAATATGCATTTGAAAATATAAATAAGCATACTTTTCAGCAATTCCCAAGCCAAAATAGATAATTGGTATTAGAAAATCAGAACAAAATGTCCAGGCGCAGTGGCTCATGCCTGTAATCCCAGCAGTTTGGGATGCTGAGGCGGGTGGATTACCTGAGGTCAGGAGTTCAGGACCAGCCTGGCCAACATAGTGAAACCATCTCTACTAAAAAATACAAAAATTAGCTGGGCATGGTGGTGGACACCTGTAATCCCAGCTACTCGGGAGGCTGAGACAGAATTGTTTGAACTCAGGAGGCAGAGGTTGCAGTGAGCTGAGATCGCACCACTGCACTCCAGCCTGGGCGACAGAACGAGGCTCCATCTCAAAAAAAAAAAAAAAAAAAAAAAAAGAAATTCAGAACAAAACTAAATGAAAATACTACTTATCAAGAATTAAGGGAACAGGTGTGTGACTGTAGTCTCGACTACCTGGGAGGCTGAGGCAGGAGGACGGCTTGAGCCCTGGAGTGGGAAAGTGGGAGGCTGCAGTGAGCTATGATCCTACCAGCCTAGGCAACAGAGTGATACTGTGTCCAAAAAAAAAAAAAAAAAAAAAAAAGGCTGGTCCGAGTGCAGCGGCGTTTACAGCTAATTGATCACAACCAGCCAGTTACTTGTTCCTTCTTCACTCTCACTGTTTCACTTGACTAGTTTTAAAAAGTAAAAAAAAAAAAAAATTTAAAGGAAAGCTTAAGGGACATAATGAAAGTGGTACTTGGAAATTCATAGGTTTATGAAGAAACACTGAAAAAAAGACAAAAGAGAAACACTGAAAATTAATGAGCATCCAGCTCAATTTAGAAAAAGAATCAGGCTGGGCGTGGTGGCTCACGCCTGTAATCCAGCACTTTGGGAGGCCAGGACAGGCAGATCGTGAGGTCAGGAGTTCGAGACCAGCCTGACCAACATAGTGAAATCCCCGTCTCTACTGAAAATACAAAAATTAACTGGGTGTGGTCATGGGTGCCTGTAATCCCAGCTACTCAGGAGGCTCAGGCAGGTGAATCGCTTGAACCCGGGAGGTGGAGGTTGCAGCGAGCCGAGATTGCACCACTGCACTCCAGCCTGGACGACAGAGCGACTCCGTCTCAAAAAAAAAAAAAGAAAAAGAAAAAGAAAAATAATCATAAAACTCAAAAAAGTAAAGAAATAAACATAAGAACAGAATAAAATAGAAAACAGAGATGATCAAAAAAGGAAAAGCTAATTATTTAGAAATAGATTTGTATTCCTAGAAAAATAAAACTTAAGTAAGATTCAAGATAAAATGGAACCTAAATACACCTATAGATATTCAATAACTAGATGCAATAAAAACTCTACTCCCTGCAAATACTGTGTATTCAAGGATGGCTGCCTTACACAAGCTGGTCTGGAGTCTGGGAGAGGGACTGATCTGCAGAGGGGAAGTTGGGTGTGGACTTGTAGATGGAGGCTGGTGTGCTGACCCGCCACACAGCGGGAGCACTGCCACGCATCAGGCTGTGCCAGGGGCTTGGACACTTCAGTGGACCAAACCGGCAAAGGTCAATCTCCACTGGGTGCCTATATTTTGGCAGGGAAAGAAAGACACTAAAGCACAAATAAGTGAGTCAGAGTATGCTAGAAGGGCCTCAGGAGGAAGGCAGGGGACCAGAGTGAGGCAGTGGAGCAGTGTGGGGCCAGGCAGGCCCACCTGGGAGAGGAAGGTGGAGGGGATGGCCTGGGAGCAGAGGGTCCTCTCCCGAGGTGTGGAAACCAAGGGAGGTGAAGGTTCTGGGGAAGTCAGGTGGGACAGGACAGAAACGTGCCTGCGGGGTGAGCAGCACAGGTGCTGGTGTCACCTTTGGGAATCTTTTCCAGGGAAGTGGTCACCCAGGGTTTGTGGGCTGAGCGAGAGGGAGGGTAGGGAGTGAGTGAGAGGGGCCGGGGGAGCGATAGTGAGGGGTCGGGAGGGGACAGCTCTGAGTGCAGCTGAAGTGAGGCCAACAGCTCTGATAAGAGAGAAGCCAGCAGTGGGCAAACGCAGGCCCACCTGAGGTCCTGAAGGTGGGTGGGGGTGTGAGCCCCCTTGCTGGAGAGTGTATTAAGATAGGAGGGCCGAGGTTTGGGGGGTGTCACAGGAAGTGCTGAGGCAGGGAGGGCCCTTGCAGTGGCCTCAGCCTGGGGTGGCAGCGGGGCAGTGGGCTGGGGTCCATCCAGGGGTTGGTTTGCACCCAGCACTATTCTGGGTGCTTTGCCCACATGAGCTCTCCCAGACCTTGTGAGGCCTATTTGTGTCTGAATGTGTGTGGGGGCAGGTGGGGAAGAAGTGGGGATGGTGAGAAGGACAGATCTTTCTAGAATTTTGGCCCTGTTGGAAGGAAGGAAAACCCTAGGGGCCATGGTGTCCTGTAAATCCCCACCTTCCAGGTCAGAGATGGGAGAGAAGAGGGGGTAGACCTGGGCCCAGGGTGGCCCTGCCTGGCCGGTGGGGTCTGGTGGGCCAGAGGGAGGGTCCTCAGGAAGCTTGGGGAGGCCGTGGGGAACCTGGGGATTATTCTCAACAAAGTAAGGGGCAAAGACATCCTGTGTCCCTTGGCTTCCTCTCCAGGAACCCCCCCGGAGCCCAGAGGACGTCATGTGTGTGAGTGCTTGTGGGTATTGTTATTTTTGCTGTTTGCCGGGGTGGCGGTGGAGCTGGGGAGTGACTCAGGCTTGGACTCTTTTCACGATGTGAGCATCATGCGTGCCAGGCACTGTGCAGAACCCAGGCTCAGGGCGGCACTGGGCAGGGGCTACGGTGTTGCCCCGGGCAGTGGGTCTTTGACCCAGCTGAGTCTGGGGACCATCAATCTGTGGGCTGCTGGTTGGTGAAGATGTGAGATTTTCTCTCAAAATGCTCAGTGGCCACAGCCCCAGTGCTGGCCTGGGGTGGCTGGATTCACCTGGGCTGGTGGGTTGGCAGGAGGCGGCTGGTGGGGCCCAGAGGTCCAGTCTAAGGGTCGGAGGAGTGCCGGCCAGGGTCTCTGGGTCCACCCAGCCGAGGGCAGGCTTGCAGGGAGACACCAAGGGAGAGGGAGGAGGCCCAGGGCTGTGGAAGACCTGGCTGCGGAGAGTCCATCACTGGTGGACTGGGAGGCCCCATCCACCACCTTCTGCTGGCCACAGTGGGATGAAGGGCCGGCACCTGGGAGCAAAGGCAGGTGGAGGTTGCGGTGGGAGGGACGGCAAGGAAGGTTAGGGTTAGGGCTGAAGGAGGGGTTGGGAGGGAGTTGGGGGCCTGGGTGACAGCGGGGGGAGAGACATGGGCAGGAAGACGGTGGAGACACGAGGTGGGCCGGGAAGCACTGGTTTCCTCTCTCCAGGGCTGGGCCACAGGAAATCCAGCCCTCGTGCCTTCCAAGGTGCTTCCTGCCGATACGGGAGCCTCCAGGGCCCCTTCCTGCTCCCTGCTCCCGGGACCCCCACCCCTCCCATCCTGCCCCCTCCCCTGGGAGACCCTCAGCTGCACCACTCAGGCCAGGCCAGTGGCCTTGGGAGGGGCCTGTGATGCTGGGACCACAGTTCCTGGGCAGGGAGCAACCGTCTAGGCGTGGGGAGAACGCAGGACGTGACCCACACACCGCACTGGAGGCTCCGCTCTGCCCGGTCAGTGGCGTCCTGGGGAGGCGGGAGGAGGAAGCCAGACTGGTCCCAGGGAAGTGAGGCCCTGCTCTGGGGTTGACCAGAGGCTGTTTTGAGGGGAGAGGGCTCATCAGAAACACTCTGTCAGGGGTGCTCTGGGGTGAGCAGGTGCTGGTCGAGGTGGATCTGCTGGGGAGTGGGGGCTGTCCTTGGAGGGAGTGCCAAGCTCTGTTCTGTGTGGGTCAGGGTGTTTAGGATGGTCCAGGTTGTCACGCGGGGGAGGGTAGGGAGGTTTTTCTGCGTGTATGGGGGCCGGAGCAGTTCAAGGTTATTCCTGGGAGGCTCAGGCAAAATCCGTTTTGTGGGTGATCTGGAGCTGCTCTTGGGGAGGCTGGGGGTTAGAGGCTGTTTTCCTCCTTAGGCAGAGGGGTTCCCCAGGCTGGGCTCTTCTGTGAACGTTCTCAAGCTCTGCCCTCAGGGGGCCAGCGGCTCCTCTAGGAGGATCTGGGGCTGCTTGGGGGCGGAGGAGGGGGGTGGGGAACGCCAGGCAAAGCGGGTTGGGAGAGTTCTGCAGGAGGCGGAACTATTTCGACTTAGGGGCTGCTCTTGGGGGCACAGGGGCTCGCAGTGCAGGACAGTTCCGAGAGGCCGCTCAGGGCTGGGGGGCCTGGTGCACCCCGATGGGGCGGCGGTGCCTGAGCTCGTTTCTTTACTGAGCTCCCCCCTCCTCCGCCCACTCATCACCCCCTCCCGCGTTGCCACGACAACGCGTAAAACTAAAATTCACTTCCCAGTCGCAGGTGGAGACTAGTAGCGCCCCCTCCCCTAGGCCCTTCCCCGTAGGTCGCGCCCCCATCCCGCCGTCGCTAAGGTGACGGGGAGGGGGCGACAGGCGTTGGATCCGGACCGGCCAGGGGTCCTTGGGGGGAAGTCCGGAGCAAACTCCCCAAACTAGGCTGGCGTGGGGGAGCCGCGCCGAACACGCCAGGGCGCGGTCGAAAGGGTTAATTCGGAGGGCCTCTCGCCGAGGCGGTGGGAAGGGCCCCGGGCCCTCCCCGGTCTGGAGGTCCCCGTGGTCCGACCCCCAGGCCTGGGGCGGGGGGGGGTCCCCGCCATCTCCTCCAGGCCCGAAGCTGGGGGTCGGTGGAGTGGGGGGGAGAAGCCGCCACCTCCGGAAATTAATTGTTTTTCTTTCCCCTTCTCGCCCTACCTTGGTCTTCGTGCCCCGACGCGGCCCCCACCCCAGCTCCGGGACCCCTTCCTCCGCCGCACCCGCCCCGGTGGTCCGCGGATGCCCGCCCTTGCCGCTCAGCCACTCCCCCCGCACCGAGGCCTAGGACTCCCCCCCCCAACCCCGTCACAGCCCCCCAGACCCCCGCCCCGTGGCTCGGCCCCCGCCCTCCGCACACACCTCCCGCCCCCACCCGGGACCCCGCAAGTAACCCCCCAGCACTGGCCCTGAGCCCTCCCGGCCCCCGCCTCCGGCGCAGCCCCCTCGCCACCCCCGCTTCCCTCCCGTCTCAGGCCCCCTCCCCCCGCCGCCCCCGCCCCCGGGGAAGGCAGGCGCCGAGCTGAGCCGGGGCCGATGCAGCTGAGCCGCGCCGCCGCCGCCGCCGCCGCCGCCCCTGCGGAGCCCCCGGAGCCGCTGTCCCCCGCGCCGGCCCCGGCCCCGGCCCCCCCCGGCCCCCTCCCGCGCAGCGCGGCCGACGGGGCTCCGGCGGGGGGGAAGGGGGGGCCGGGGCGCCGCGCGCGGAGTCCCCGGGCGCTCCGTTCCCCGGCGCGAGCGGCCCCGGCCCGGGCCCCGGCGCGGGGATGGACGGCCCCGGGGCCAGCGCCGTGGTCGTGCGCGTCGGCATCCCGGACCTGCAGCAGACGGTGAGCCCCGCCGCCCTGGGCCCGGCCGTGCCCCTGCGCTCCCCGCCCGGGATTCCCCCACCCCCGCCGGGCGCGCCCGGCGCCCGGGACCCCCGGCCCACGGCTACTCACCCCTCCCCCGCCGCCTCCGCCGGGACCCTCCCCATCGCCAGGGCGGGGCCCCGGGAAGCCCGGCCCCTGGGGCGGGGCTTCGGCCGCGGTTCGCGGAGGCGCGGGGTCCCGGGCGCCGGCACCCGAGCCCCGGACTCCTTCGGCGGGGGCCCGGGGCTCGGCACCCCGCATGGGGCCGGCGGGGCGGGTCCGCGCTCCCGGGACCTGAGCTCACGAGCCCGCTCCGCTGCAGAAGTGCCTGCGCCTGGACCCGGCCGCGCCCGTGTGGGCCGCCAAGCAGCGCGTGCTCTGCGCCCTCAACCACAGCCTCCAGGACGCGCTCAACTATGGGCTTTTCCAGCCGCCCTCCCGGGGCCGCGCCGGCAAGTTCCTGGATGAGGAGCGGCTCCTGCAGGAGTACCCGCCCAACCTGGACACGCCCCTGCCCTACCTGGAGGTAAGTGGCCGGCGCGGGGGTGAGCTGAGGAGCGCGCAGGGTGGATCACCAAGCCCCGTGGCGGGACCAGTGAAGGGCACGGCAGTGGGGAAACACAAGTGGGAGGGGTGAGGGGTGGAGGCTGTGTGTGTGTGTGTGTGTGTGTGTGTGTGGTGCTGTGTGCAGAGTGCAGTGAGCGTGTACAGGGTGCAGCGAGCGGACACAGTGTATGCGATGAGTAGGCGCGGTGTGTGCAGTGAGCGGGCAGGGCGAGCAGTAAGGATGTACAGTGTGGGCAGTGTGCGAGCATGTGTAGTGAGCAGGCAGTGTGTGCAGTTAGCAGGCACAGTGTGTGCAGTGAGTGGGCAGTGTGCACAGCATGTACAGTGTGAGTGGTGTGTGCTGTGTGCCGTGAGCATGTGTAGTGAGTGGGCACAGTGCAGTCAGTGTGCACAAAGTATGCAGTGGGCACGTACCGTGTGTGCAGTGAGTGGTGTGCAGTGTGTAGTGTGCAGTGAGCAGTGTGTACAGCATTGCAGTGTGGGGCAGTGAGTACAGTGTGAGTGTTGTGATTGTGGTAAGCAGGATGCGCAGTATACAGTGAACAGTGTGCACAGTGTGTGCAGTGTGGGCTGTGTGCCACAGAGTCAGTGTGGTGTGTGTAGTTTGAACAGTGTGTGCATTGAGCAGCATGGATGGTGTGGACGCTGAGCATTGTTCTCCAGGGAGGAGTGTGAGCACGAGAGAGTGCCAGAGGGGTGTGTGGTGTGAGCAGGGCTATCTGTGTGCACGTTTGTTCCTTTCTCCAGCTGTGAAGTCTTGTGAAGGCCAACCAAGTCCCCTCCTTTACTCACCCATGCATGGTGTGAAGATGTATTGAGTGCCTTGCTAGGCATGGGGACGTAGACGGGGTCAGTCCTGTGGAAGGTCTTGGAGTTTGGCAGGGTGGAGGGGGGTGCCCAACTGCAGTGGGCATTGAATAAAGATTTTGTGAGCTGAGCTCAAAGTTGGGCGGGCCTCCGTGGTGGCACAGGAAAGTGGGGTCAGTTCTACCTGGAGAGTGGAGGGGGATGTCTAGGATGGTAAGCCTGGAATCAGGCCTTCAGAGAGGAGTGGGATTTTGCCGAGAATCCTGGGGATGGGAAGGCGACGGGACAGTGCAGGCTGCGGGCAGCTAGGCACGTGCCTTCCATCGGGCTGCATCATGCCTGAGTGTGGTGGGTGCATGGCAGCTGTTAGCTCTGTCCACTGTGGTAGTATGACTGATGGTGTGTACAGGAGGGCAGTGAGGGGTGCGGTGTGGCCAGCATGAGCGGGACGGGGTTTGTGCATGGACTCACTTGCTCAGCCGGGGTGGGGGCATTTTCTCTACCTTTTCTTTATCTGAGCAGTTTCGATACAAGCGGCGAGTTTATGCCCAGAACCTCATCGATGATAAGCAGTTTGCAAAGCTTCACACAAAGGTAAAGGATCACGGGGAGGGGGCTCCTGAGGTTCCCTCCTGCCTCCCTGTGGCTGCTGTCCCCCACCCCAGCTTGGGGCTGACCACAGTCCCCCAGCTTTAGCTCAGTCCATTTCCCCATCATCAGGGGCCCAGAGCCTGTACTGGGTGTGGCTGAAGGGCTGGGCACAGATTCCTGGCCCCATGGTTGGGGTCAGGTGGTACAGTGATGTGTTCCAGTTAGATCAGACTCTTGCCGACCCCCCTGGCTTAGGGGCTGGAGTGTCCTGTGAGAAGCTGGGTGGAGAGGGAGTGGACAAGCATCTGATGTGATGGCTGTCGGGACAAGGCACCCAGCATCGAGTGGTCGACCAGTGCTAGGCATTTGTGATTAGACCTCTCATTAATCCTCTTCCAGAGGGACTATTATAACCCTGTTTCACAGATGGGGACACAGAGTACCCGACTGTGTAGACAGTGAAGCTGGGGCTGAACCCAGATCTGTCTGATTCCAGGCCCTGTGCCCAGGCATGCCTTTGAGGTGTCTACTGCTGGGTGCCACCCCCAACTGGGCCTGACCCCAAATGCTCTTGAGGGGGGCACCTTACTATTTCCCGCTGAATGTCAGAGGGGCAGGGTGGGTGCCACAGCCCCTCCCCAGGGGCTTCCACCCG
The DNA here is from genome assembly GCF_000001405.40 of Homo sapiens. Taxonomy (NCBI): domain Eukaryota; kingdom Metazoa; phylum Chordata; class Mammalia; order Primates; family Hominidae; genus Homo; species Homo sapiens. The sequence goes on from NC_000022.11 coordinate 50,677,346, forward strand.
CAGCTCACAGTCCAGCAGGCACTTGTTTGCTGGATACTTTATGGGCGGTCTCGAGCTCAGGAGAGGGGTCAGAATGGAGGGTCTCTGGAGCCCAGGAGAGGAATCAGAACTGTCAGCCCTGTGTCCTAATGGTCCCATCAGTGACTTTGGAGCCTCAGGCTTCTGTGCCAGGCTTTTCTGCTGCCCCAGGGCAGGCGGTGGTCAACGGCCTTGGCACTATGGCTGGGCAGAGTCCACTGTGGAAAGGTCCCCCTCTCCTGCCACTGGCCCTCACTTGACCTTGTCAGCCTGGGTTCCTACCCCATGGCCACCTCTCCCTCCGGATCTCTCTTCAGTGACCAACAAGACATGAGTGACTCACTCTGAAGTAGGTCTCGTTTGTTTTTAGGATGAGCCTGAACTTCTTACATAGCCCGTGTTTCTGCTTGCCTGGGCTCCAGCTGGCCTTTCCCTCTCCCCTGGTAGTGAGCACTTCCTCCTCTTTCACTGCCTGGCCCGCCTGAGGAGGTTGCCTCCCAAGGCAGGGGTCCCTATGGCACCCTCCCCTATTTCTGAGGTACACTGGGTGTTTATGGAAGGGCCCCGGCCTTTGGCCAGGGCACCTTGCCTTGTGTGTGTGGTGTCCGTAGTGCCGGCTGGGGAAGTGAGGCCTTGTGGGGTGAGTGAATAAACTGGGTGAATGAGTACAAGGCCATCAAAGTCATGTCACAGGATGGGTCCCTGGGGTGGGGGTCTGCGGTGGGGTGAGCTGGAGAGGAAGATGGGCCGAAGAAGGAGCAGGTTGTCTCAGGGTGCTGAGGATTCAGGGCTGCTGTGGGGCTGGTTCCTGCCTGGGTGGACCTCGGGCTCTTCTAGGCCAGGCAGGTCGGGGCAGCAGGGCCGGAGAGACGGAGCCAGGGCAGTGACTGGGCCTGGAGTGGGGGACTTGCTTGGGGCCCCACCAGGGTGACCTGGCCTTGGTGAGGGGCTACTTGGGTACAAGCTGACAGTCGTGACTGGTTTGGCTATCAGGGCGCAAGGAAGGGCTTTGAGCCGTGCATGGGCCCACCCGAGTGGGAATTGGGGCCGTGGTGGGAGTGCAGGACCGTGGTTGACAATTGTGATGTCAGGTGACAGGTCAGACTGGTAGGGATGTGGCGGGGGTTGCCTGAAGGTGGCCTGAGGCTTGCCGGAGGAAGGCGGGTGATGTTCAGATGATGGAGGCCTTGGTGCCAGGCTGACTGACGGCCGGTGTTCCAGGCGAACCTGAAGAAGTTCATGGACTACGTCCAGCTGCATAGCACGGACAAGGTGGCACGCCTGTTGGACAAGGGGCTGGACCCCAACTTCCATGACCCTGACTCAGGAGGTGAGGAGTGGAGTCGGGGAGGGGCATGGCCTTTGCGCGGCTGGGAGCCTGACCCTTATCTGTCTGTGAACCCAGAGTGCCCCCTGAGCCTCGCAGCCCAGCTGGACAACGCCACGGACCTGCTAAAGGTGCTGAAGAATGGTGGTGCCCACCTGGACTTCCGCACTCGCGATGGGCTCACTGCCGTGCACTGTGCCACACGCCAGCGGAATGCGGCAGCACTGACGGTCAGTGAGGGCGGGGCCTGGCCTGGAGGGGCTCTTGCCTGGTGATGGGGCTGGGGGCAGCTGGGCCTGGTGTGGATACTGAGGCTGCTCACCCTCAGACCCTGCTGGACCTGGGGGCTTCACCTGACTACAAGGACAGCCGCGGCTTGACACCCCTCTACCACAGCGCCCTGGGGGGTGGGGATGCCCTCTGCTGTGAGCTGCTTCTCCACGACCACGCTCAGCTGGGGATCACCGACGAGAATGGCTGGCAGGAGATCCACCAGGTGTGCAGGGAGCCGAGGTGGGGTCCCGGCCTCTGTGTGCTGGGTTGGGGGTCCTGGCTCTGTCTGTAGGGGTGGGGGCCCTAGCCTCTGCCCAGGGACCCTACAGCACCTTGCTCTTCCCCCAGGCCTGCCGCTTTGGGCACGTGCAGCATCTGGAGCACCTGCTGTTCTATGGGGCAGACATGGGGGCCCAGAACGCCTCGGGGAACACAGCCCTGCACATCTGTGCCCTCTACAACCAGGTGCGACTGTGTGTCCTGCACATGCCTGCACCAGCGAGTGTGCATATACTTGCCTCTTCTGGGGGTGTATGTGTGTGTGGGCACACAGGTGACCCTGTACGGTGATTGCATGTGTGCACCGAGTGTGGATATACTTGCCTGTTCTGGGGGTGTACGTGTGTTTGTGTGCACACAGGTGACCCTGTACAGTGATTGCATGCGTGCACCAGGGAGTGTGGATATACTTGCCTGTTCTGGGGTTGTACATGTGTGTGCACACAGATGACCCTGTACAGTGATTGTATGCGTGCACCAGTGAGTGTGGATATACTTGCCTGTTCTGGGGGTGTACGTGTGTTTGTGTGCACACAGGTGACCCTGTACAGTGATTGCATGTGTGCACCAGGGAGTGTGGATATACTTGCCTGTTCTGGGGGTGTACACGTGTGTTTGCACACAGATGACCCTGTACAGTGATTGCATGCGTGCACCAGGGAGTGTGGATATACTTGCCTGTTCTGGGGGTGTACACGTGTGTGTGCACACAGATGACCCTGTACAGTGATTGCATGCGTGCACCAGGTAGTGTGGATATACTTGCCTGTTCTGGGGGTGTACACGTGTGTTTGCACACAGATGACCTTGTACAGTGATTGCATGCGTGCACCAGGGAGTGTGGATATACTTGTCTGTTCTGGGGGTGTACACGTGTGTTTGCACACAGATGACCCTGTACAGTGATTGCATGCGTGCACCAGGGAGTGTGGATATACTTGCCTGTTCTGGGGGTGTACACGTGTGTTTGCACACAGGTGACCCTGTACAGTGATCGTACACGTGTACCAGGGAGTGTGGATATACTTGCCTGTTCTGGGGTTGTACGTGTGTGTGTGCACACAGATGACTCTGTACAGTGATTGCATGCGTGCACCAGGTAGTGTGGATATACTTGTCTGTTCTGGGGGTGTACACGTGTGTTTGCACACAGATGACCTTGTACAGTGATTGCATGCGTGCACCAGGGAGTGTGGATATACTTGCCTGTTCTGGGGGTGTACATGTGTGTGCACACAGATGACCCTGTACAGTGATTGCATGCGTGCACCAGGGAGTGTGGATATACTTGCCTGTTCTGGGGGTGTACACGTGTGTTTGCACACAGGTGACCCTGTACAGTGATTGTACACGTGTACCAGGGAGTGTGGATATACTTGCCTGTTCTGGGGTTGTACGTGTGTGTGTGCACACAGATGACTCTGTACAGTGATTGCATGCGTGCACCAGGTAGTGTGGATATACTTGTCTGTTCTGGGGGTGTACACGTGTGTTTGCACACAGATGACCTTGTACAGTGATTGCATGCGTGCACCAGGGAGTGTGGATATACTTGCCTGTTCTGGGGGTGTACATGTGTGTGCACACAGATGACCCTGTACACTGATTGCATGCGTGCACCAGGGAGTGTGGATATACTTGCCTGTTCTGGGGGTGTACATGTGTGTGCACACAGATGACCCTGTACAGTGATTGCATGCGTGCACCAGGGAGTGTGGATATACTTGCCTGTTCTGGGGGTGTACATGTGTGTGCACACAGATGACCCTGTACACTGATTGCATGCGTGCACCAGGGAGTGTGGATATACTTGCCTGTTCTGGTGTTGTACATGTGTGTGTGTGCACACAGATGACTCTACAGTGATTGTATGCGTGCAGCAGGTAGTGTGGATATACTTGCCTGTTCTGGGGGTGTACACGTGTGTTTGCACACAGATGACCCTGTACAGTGATTGTATGCGTGTACCAGGGAGTGTGGATATACTTGCCTGTTCTGGGGGTGTACATGTGTGTGCACACAGATGACCCTGTACAGTGATTGTATGCGTGCACCAGGTAGTGTGGATATACTTGCCTGTTCTGGGGGTGTACACGTGTGTTTGCACACAGATGACCCTGTACAGTGATTGCATGCGTGCACCAGGGAGTGTGGATATACTTGCCTGTTCTGGGGTTGTACATGTGTCTGTGTGCACACAGATGACTCTGTACAGTGATTGTATGCATGTACCAGTGAGTGTGGATATACTTGTCTGTTCTGGGGGTGTACGTGTGTTTGTGTGCACACAGGTGACCCTGTACAGTGATTGTACACGTGTACCAGGGAGTGTGGATATACTTGCCTGTTCTGGGGGTGTACGTGTGTTTGTGTGCACACAGGTGACCCTGTACAGTGATTGCATGCGTGCACCAGGGAGTGTGGATATACTTGCCTGTTCTGGGGGTGTACACGTGTGTGCACACAGATGACCCTGTACAGTGATTGTACACGTGTACCAGGGAGTGTGGATATACTTGCCTGTTCTGGGGGTGTACACGTGTGTTTGCACACAGATGACCCTGTACAGTGATTGTACACGTGTACCAGGGAGTGTGGATATACTTGCCTGTTCTGGGGGTGTACACGTGTGTGCACACAGATGACCCTGTACAGTGATTGTACACGTGTACCAGGGAGTGTGGATATACTTGCCTGTTCTGGGGGTGTACACGTGTGTTTGCACACAGATGACCCTGTACAGTGATTGTACACGTGTACCAGGGAGTGTGGATATACTTGCCTGTTCTGGGGGTGTACATGTGTGTGCACACAGATGACCCTGTACAGTGATTGCATGCGTGCACTAGGGAGTGTGGATATACTTGCCTGTTCTGGGGGTGTACACATGTGTTTGCACACAGATGACCCTGTACAGTGATTGTACACGTGTATCAGGGAGTGTGGATATACTTGCCTGTTCTGGGGGTGTACACGTGTGTTTGCACACAGATGACCCTGTACAGTGATTGTACACGTGTACCAGGGAGTGTGGATATACTTGCCTGTTCTGGGGGTGTACATGTGTGTGCACACAGATGACCCTGTACAGTGATTGCATGCGTGCACCAGGGAGTGTGGATATACTTGCCTGTTCTGGGGGTGTACACGTGTGTGTGCACACAGGTGACCCTGTACAGTGATTGCATGCGTGCACCAGGGAGTGTGGATATACTTGCCTGTTCTGGGGGTGTACACGTGTGTGTGCACACAGGTGATCCTGTACAGTGATTGCATGCGTGCACCAGGGAGTGTGGATATACTTGCCTGTTCTGGGGGTGTACACATGTGTTTGCACACAGATGACCCTGTACAGTGATTGCATGCGTGCACCAGGGAGTGTGGATATACTTGCCTGTTCTGGGGGTGTACACGTGTGTGTGCACACAGGTGACCCTGTACAGTGATTGCATGCGTGCACCAGGGAGTGTGGATATACTTGCCTGTTCTGGGGGTGTACACGTGTGTGTGCACACAGGTGACCCTGTACAGTGATTGCATGCGTGCACCAGGGAGTGTGGATATACTTGCCTGTTCTGGGGGTGTACATGTGTGTGCACACAGGTGACCCTGTACAGTGATTGCATGCGTGCACCAGGGAGTGTGGAAATACTTGCCTGTTCTGGGGGTGTACACGTGTGTGTGCACACAGATGACCCTGTACAGTGATTGTGTATGTGCATCCCTGCCTCTGTGCCATGGTATATATATGTGCTCTGTGTCCTGCAGTGAGTTGTGGCTGCAGCACAGCCTCATAGGCATATGTGTGCACATTTGTTCTCTGAACACACAGGGGCTTCACATGTGTGCACGTGTGTTCTGAATAACCAGGTATGAATTGGGTACATCTAGGCCCTCTGGGCCAGGTGAGACCTGAGCGTGTATACCTACTGGCTTGTCTCTGCAACTCAGGTGTACATGGAACAAATAGGTGTGAGTCCGTGTGTGTGAGCCTGTGCCCTGCGCACGCCATGTGTGCATTCCTGTGTGCGCATGTGCTGTTGTGCTCGGATGGTCTCTCCAGCCACCCAGCTGTGATTCCCTCTTCCCCGCAACAGGAGAGCTGTGCTCGTGTCCTGCTCTTCCGTGGAGCTAACAGGGATGTCCGCAACTACAACAGCCAGACAGCCTTCCAGGTACACCGGTGGTTTACAGGAGCTCAAGGCTGCCCCAGAGGTGTCTGTCTCTGTGTCCATGTGACTTGACTTCTCTGAACCTTGGTTCTTCCCTGGAAGGCCCTAAGGGAGCACCTCCCCCAGGACTGCCCACAGGAGGTGTTGGGGGACGAGCCCAGCACGCGAGGGGTATTTGGTGTTGATGTTCCCTTCGTCCCCTCGCCAGGGAGAGAGGAGGGTCAGCAGGGCTCTGGGGCAGGGGTATGGGGAAAATGAGAAGACTGGGGTGACAGGTGTGGGTCTGACCCCCCAACCCCGAGAGACCAGCAGGGGTGCAGAAGCCAAACTGCAGAGGGGGTGGAGAGGGGGGTGGTGGAGGGGGGTGGTGGAGAGGGGGGTGGTGGAGGGGGATGGTGGAGGGGGGATGGTGGAGGGGGGTGGTGGAGAGGGGGTGGTGGAGAGGGGGGTGGTGGAGAGGGGTGTGATCCTAGCCGCTGATGTAATTCAGGGGAGGTTTCCGGGCCCTTTCTCTGGCCAGGTTGGTTGGCACTGATGACCAGGTGGACGTGGTCTCTGACTTGGAGTTTGTTGGGGAGTCGGGAATATTGTGGGGGTTTGCGGACCAGGAACAGAGCCAGAACTCCTCTATTTTCAGTAGGAGTGAGATGTGGGAAGAGTGGTCAGGCTGCTGAGGTTGTGTGGTCATAGAAGGTGGAGGCAGCAGTGGGCTGCCAGATGGGTTTGGGCACACTGGGAAGCAGATACGCCCGGGCCTGTTGGATGACTGGGTGCAGGGTCACAGGAAGGGGAGGATGAGCTTGGCAGCTTGGGCAGCTGCGGGGCCTTGGCTGAGATGGGAAACATGGCTGCATGTTGGGACAGACCAGTGTGCCCGTTTGCTTGGGACTGCTGGTTTTAGCTCTGAACTTCTGTCCAGGCAGCCCCTCAGTCCCAGGCAGACAGAGGGTGGGTCACTCCAGTTATAGGGTGTGCCTGTGGCATCCCAGTTACAGACAAGAGTGTGTGTCAGTAGAGAAGAGGAATGGGCTGGGGTCTCCGGGGCCCCCAACCAAGGAAGACTCCACACACGAACTGGAGAAGGAGCAGCTGGGGCTGGCTGGCGAGGCAAAGCTGGTGCTGCTCAGCCCCTCCCTGCTCCTCAAGGCCTTGACCTCCCCTTTCCCTCAGGTGGCCATCATCGCAGGGAACTTTGAGCTTGCAGAGGTTATCAAGACCCACAAAGACTCGGATGTTGGTGAGTTCTGCCCACCTGGGCGACCCTGCTGAATGTAGATTCGTGTGGTTTTCTGGGGCCCAGCAGATGTGGGGGTCAGTGGTGACATAAAGGGGCCCCACACCCCACATCTACACTGTGTGGCCAGTGGTCTCTGAGTGGCCACTGCGGGCATGAGGAACGGGCCACAGGGCCTGTGTTGAGTGAACATTGTTTTTGGTCTGGGAGAAGAGCATGGTGAGGTTTGGGCTGTGGGCCGGGGCTAGCATTCAGCTTAGGGGGCAGCATAGGTTGAGAGTGGGGTTGAAGTTAGGGTCAGAGTCCCTGTTTCCCGTTAAATCCTAGGAAGAGCCAGCAGGAGACATGGGGGTGGTGGACCTCACTTCACCCTGGAGCAAGCATGAGTCTTGGTGGTCCGTAGCAAGCTCTCAGCATGGAAAGATCATGTAAACGACACATAAGGAAAACAACAGTGATGGGAAAGCAGAATGGGGCTGGGAATAGTGCCATAGCCATCCTCAGGGCAAGGAGCTCTGAGCCCCCTGCTGCCTGCGAGTAGAGGAAAGCCTGGTGTGTGCGTGACTCACGGTCCTGGAAGGAAAACCAGGAGACACACACGTGGCCTCAGCCAGGATACCCGAGCCTCTTGGAGGTCTCTGGTGGGTGTGGGGCCAGGCTGGGACCGTCCTGTTGTAGCTGCCGGAGTCCCCTCTGGGAGAGTTGTAGCTGCCGGAGTCCCCTCTGGGAGAGTTGCTGCTGGCCAGGCTGGGACCGTCCTGTTGTAGCTGCCGGAGTCCCCTCTGGGAGAGTTGTAGCTGCCGGAGTCCCCTCTGGGAGAGTTGCTGCTGGCCAGGCTGGGACGGTCCTGTTGTAGCTGCCGGAGTCCCCTCTGGGAGAGTTGCTGCTGGCCAGGCTGGGACCGTCCTGTTGTAGCTGCCGGAGTCCCCTCTGGGAGAGTTGTAGCTGCCGGAGTCCCCTCTGGGAGAGTTGCTGCTGGCCAGGCTGGGACGGTCCTGTTGTAGCTGCCGGAGTCCCCTCTGGGAGAGTTGTAGCTGGCCAGGCTGGGACCGTCCTGTTGTAGCTGCCGGAGTCCCCTCTGGGAGAGTTGTAGCTGCCGGAGTCCCCTCTGGGAGAGTTGCTGCTGGCCAGGCTGGGATGGTCCTGTTGTAGCTGCCGGAGTCCCCTCTGGGAGAGTTGCTGCTGGCCAGGCTGGGACCGTCCTGTTGTAGCTGCTGGAGTCCCCTCTGGGAGAGTTGTAGCTGCCGGAGTCCCCTCTGGGAGAGTTGCTGCTGGCCAGGCTGGGACCGTCCTGTTGTAGCTGCCGGAGTCCCCTCTGGGAGAGTTGCTGCTGGCCAGGCTGGGACGGTCCTGTTGTAGCTGCCGGAGTCCCCTCTGGGAGAGTTGCTGTTGGCCAGGCTGGGACCGTCCTGTTGTAGCTGCCGGAGTCCCCTCTGGGAGAGTTGTAGCTGCCGGAGTCCCCTCTGGGAGAGTTGCTGCTGGCCAGGCTGGGACCGTCCTGTTGTAGCTGCCGGAGTCCCCTCTGGGAGAGTTGCTGCTGGCCAGGCTGGGACCATCCTGTTGTAGCTGCCGGAGTCCCCTCTGGGAGAGTTGTAGCTGGCCAGGCTGGGACCGTCCTGTTGTAGCTGCCGGAGTCCCCTCTGGGAGAGTTGCTGCTGGCCAGGCTGGGACTGTCCTGTTGTAGCTGCCGGAGTCCCCTCTGGGAGAGTTGCTGCTGGCCAGGCTGGGACCGTCCTGTTGTAGCTGCCGGAGTCCCCTCTGGGAGAGTTGCTGCTGGCCAGGCTGGGACTGTCCTGTTGTAGCTGCCGGAGTCCCCTCTGGGAGAGTTGTAGCTGCCGGAGTCCCCTCTGGGAGAGTTGCTGCTGGCCAGGCTGGGACGGTCCTGTTGTAGCTGCCGGAGTCCCCTCTGGGAGAGTTGCTGCTGGCCAGGCTGGGACGGTCCTGTTGTAGCTGCCGGAGTCCCCTCTGGGAGAGTTGTAGCTGGCCAGGCTGGGACCGTCCTGTTGTAGCTGCCGGAGTCCCCTCTGGGAGAGTTGCTGCTGGCCAGGCTGGGACCGTCCTGTTGTAGCTGCCGGAGTCCCCTCTGGGAGAGTTGTAGCTGCCGGAGTCCCCTCTGGGAGAGTTGCTGCTGGCCAGGCTGGGACCGTCCTGTTGTAGCTGCCGGAGTCCCCTCTGGGCGAGTTGCTGCTGGCCAGGCTGGGACGGTCCTGTTGTAGCTGCCGGAGTCCCCTCTGGGAGAGTTGCTGCTGGCCAGGCTGGGACCATCCTGTTGTAGCTGCCGGAGTCCCCTCTGGTGCCTGTGCCTCTCTCTGGTATATGGACTCCCAGGACCCCCTTCCTGCCATGAGTGTTTACTCGTGGGTGTCCCCATTTTTTGTTTTTGTTTTAATTTGAAGTGACAGCGGGCAGCAAACGTCTGGAGCAGATGTTAGGGTTGGACTCTCACTTGGTTCTAATGTGAGGTCATGGTCAGGGCTGGAGTTGAATTTTGGACTGGGGTTAAGATTAAGGTCGGTTTCATGTTTAAGGGCCCTTCTTCTGTAGAGTTCCCCCTGAACATCCCCCTGTAAGGCTTGGTTATGAGCCCCTCCACCCCAGGCTGTGTCAGTTGAACCATCTGAGGCTGTGGCAGACCCTCGGTGAATGCCACAGCTGCTCTCAAGGCCACTGCAGGGAAGTGTGTGTTGAGGAAGTAACTGGGCCAGTGGGATGGGTAGGATCGGAGTCCAGGGTCAGGTCAGGGGAGAACTGTGGTAAGGTTTGGGTTTGCATAAGGGGCAGCAGATAGTTACTTCTGGTTTGGGCTGGTGTTTTGGAGGTGGCCCTTAGTGTTGGAAGGCCCTGGTTTGTGCATGTGTGGGGCCTCTTCCTCTTTTTTTTTTTTTTTTTGAGATGGAGTCTGCCTATGTAGCCCAGGCAGGAGTGCAGTGGCGCGATCTTGGCTCACTGCAAGCTCCGCCTCCTGGGTTCTCACCATTCTCCTGCCTCAGCCTCCCGAGTAGCTGGGATTACAGGTGCCCACCATCATGCCTGGCTAATTTTCTGTATTTTTAGTAGAGACGGGGTTTCACCGTGTTAGCCAGGATGGTCTTGATCTCCTGACCTCGTGATCCACCCGCCTCGGCTTCCCAAAGTGCTGGGATTACAGGCATGAGCCACTGTGCCCGGCCAGGGCCTCCTCTTCTGCCTATAATTGTCTAACCGTGGGAAAGCTGTCTGGGACCTCTGCGCCTCAGTTTCTCTTAAGTGAAACATGGTCTCTTATGGTCATTTGCATCCCCTTCCCCCTGTGGTGTCCTGTGGCGTTTGATCCTGGGTGGGGCTGGACTCTTGCCGGTGGCCTTGGTCTAGTTGCTTGGAGGGAGGGCGGGAAGGCCCCATCTGCCCCTCATCTGTGCGTTGTGGACAGATACCCCAGGGCTCTTGGAGTCACCATGGTTGCGACTTACTGGCTATCCAACCTAGGTGTGCTTGCTTGGTTGGAGTTAGACACACGTCCCTCAGTGGTAAGGAGCAGGCACCTGTGTCAGTTCATCCTGATGTGGTCGTCGGCTCCATGGGCCAACAACACCCTTACCTGATCAGGTGCCACACACAGACACTAGGGTGACACCGCCAGATTTCCCTGAGTACAGGCAGCATATTTGTCAGGATTTAATACAAGCCCCTTATCTCAATTTGCCCTCTCAACAACCCCCCAAGGAGTGATTAGACTGTTTTACGGAGAAGGAAACTGAGGCACAGAGGGGGTTAATTCAGACCTGATTGATTCAGGGTCTGCCTTTGTCACTCCCATGCCCTCCGTACACATTTGCTCCAAGGACAGGACAGTCATGACTTGCTACATCCTATGCCCACTGGGGTCCCAGAGTGGGGCCTGTACACAGAAGAGGAACTGGAAGGAGGTGCCGCCTTCTCTGGTGGGCAGGTGCCACCCGGTGGGATCTGGTAGACTGGGACCTGTGTAACCCTTCAGGCAACAGGATAGCTTGCTGCCTCTCGACAGCCTTGCTTGCCCCCTCTAGACTGACAGGCCTTGGGTGGGGTCCCTGGCCTGGGCGTGGAATGGGCATCCCACAGTGCTTTTGATGAGTACCTTGGGGAAATGCTTCTCCAGGGTGCTGTCATGCCCATGAGAACACACCTGTGCCTGGGAGTGTGTGCCTGAGAGAGGGTAAGAGACAATGTGGACCCAAAGAGTGACCCGACGTGACAGAGGCAAGGAAGCAGAGGTGACCACTTCTAGGCCAGAATGATTCAGTAGCGTTCTGTATATTCACGGTGTTGTGCAGCCGATTCTATTGAATTCAAAACATTTTCATCACCACAAAAGAAGACCCTGGACACATTAAGCAATAATTCTGCATCAATTACCCTCTCCCTCCAACTCTGTCAGCCATTAACACACTTTCGTCTCTGTGGACTATAGATTTACCTATTCTTGATATTTCATGTCAATGGAATCATATAATAAGTGACACTTAGTGTCTGGCTGCTTTTACTCAACATGTTTTTGAGCTTCACCTTGTAGGATATATCACTGCTTCATTCCTTCTTATGGCTGAATAATATTTCACTGTTGGTATAAATGACATTTTGTTTATGCATTCATCTGTCAATGGATATGTGGGTTTCTACCTTTTGACTGTTTTGAATATTGCTGCTGTCAACATGTGTGTACATGTACTTGTTTGAATATCTATTTTCAATCTCTTAGGTATATACCTAAGAATGGAATTTTGGAATCATATGATAATTCTATGTTTAACTTCTTGAGGAACTGCCAAACTGTTTTCCACCATTTTGCATTCCCACCAGTGATGTATGAGGCTTCCGGTTTTTTCACATCTTCACCAACAGTTGTTACTATCTTTTTTTTTTGACCGTAGCCATCCTAGTAAGTGTGAAATGGTATTTCATTGTGATTTTGACTTGTATTTCCCTAGTGACTAATGATGTTTTGCATCTTTTCATGTGCTTATTGGGCATTTGTATATCTTCTTTGGAGAAAAGTCAAGTCCTTTGTCCATTTTTAAATTGGGTCATTTATTTTTGTTGTTGAGTTGTAAGGGTTCTTTATATATTCTGAATACTAAACTTGTGTGGAATATGTGATTTGTAAATATTTTCTCTGTAGAATAGGAGATCCTTGTCACTTTTTTGATAATGTCCTTTGATGTACAAGAATTTTTAATTTTGATAAAGTTCAAGGTATCTATTTTTTTCTTTTGTTGTTCATGCTTTTGGTGTCATAGGTCACGAGGGTTTATCCTCTAGGTTTTCTTCTAAGAATTTTACGGTTTTCACTCTTAGGTCACTGATCCATTTTAAGTTTTAACTTCTGTTTATGGTGTGAGGTAGGGAGCCATCTTCATTATTTTGCATATGAATATCCAATTGTCCAGCACCATTTGTTGAAGAGACTATTCTTTTCCCATTGAATGGTCTTGGCACCCTTGTTGAAAATGAATTGATCCTAGATATGTGGGTTTATTTGGACTCTCAATTCTATCCCAGTGGTCTACATGTATATTCTTATGCCAGGACCACATGGTTTGATTACTGCAGCTTTGTAGTAACTTTTTATTTTTATTTTTTTGGAGATGGAGTTTTGCTCTTGTCACCCAGGCTGGAGTGCAATGGCGCAGTCTCAGCTCACTGCAACCTCCGCCTCCCAGGTTCAAGCAATTCTCCTGCCTCAGCCTCCAAAGTAGCTGGGATTACAGGTGTGTGCCACCATGCCCAGCTAAGTTTTGTATTATTAGTAGAGATGGGGTTTTACCATGTTGGGCAGGCTGGTCTCGAACTCTTGACCTCAGGTGATCCACCCGCCTCTGTCTCCCAAAGTGTTGGGATTACAGGCATGAGCCACTGCACCCGGAGTGTAGTAACTTTTGAAATCAGGAGGTTTGAGTGCTTCAACTTGTTCTTATTTGTTATCGTTTTGGCTAATCAGGGCCCCTGGCAATTCCATATAGACTTGAACATTGCTTTTCTATTTGTGCAAAAAGGGACATTGGAATTTTGCATTGAATCTGTCATCACTCTGGGTGACATTAACATTTTAACACCATTGTCTTCCAATTAATGAACATGGGATGTCCTTTTATTTATTTAGGTCATCTCTAAGCAGTGTTTTGTCATTTTCAGTATATAGATTTTTTTACTTCCTTAGTTAAATTTATTCTTGATTATTTTCTTCTTCTGGATGCTATTATAAATGGAATTATTTTCTTAATTTCCTTTTTGGATTGTTCATTGCTGGTGTGTAAAAACAAGTGATTTTTGTGTGCTGATCTTGTGCCCTACAACTTTGCTGAATTTGTTTATTAGCTCTAGTAGCTCTTTTGGTGTATTCTTTGGGATTTTCTACATATAGGATCATGCCATCTGCAAATAGAGATAGTTTTACTTCTTCCTTCCCAATTTGGGTGCCTTTTTTTTAATTTTTATTTTTGCCTGTCTAGAACTTTCAGTACGGTGTTGAATACCAGTAGTAAAAGCAGGCATCTTTGCCTTGTTCCTGATCTTAGGGGGAAAGCATTCAATCTTTCACCATTGTGTATGGTGCTATCTATGTGTGTTTTTTTTGTTTGTTTGTTTTTTGTTTTTTAAATATGGAATGCTTCATTAATTTGCATGTCATCCTTGTGCAGGGGACATGCTAATCTCTGAATCATTCTAATTTTAGTATATGTGCTGCAGAAGCAAGCACTTCGGATTTTTAATAAATTTCCTTTATTATGTTGAGGAAGTTACTAGCTTCTATTACTAGTTTCCTGAGTGTTTTTATAATGAAAGAGTGTTGGATTATGGCAGATGCTTTTTATGCATCAATTGAAATGATCATTTTTCCCCCTTTGTTCTATTAATGTGATGTATTATATTGATTACATTAGTCTGTAGATTTCTTTTCCTGCAATGCCCTTATCTGGCTTTGGTAGCAGGGTAATACTGGCCTCGTGAAATGAGGGAGTGTTCCCTCCTCTTCTGTTTTTTGGAAGAGTTTGAGAATTTGTGTCAATTCTTTAAATTTCTAGTAGAGTGCACCAGTGATGCCATCTGGTGGTGGACTTTTCTTCGTTGGGAGGCTTGTGGTTAAGGATTCAATCTCTTTGCTTGTTATAGGTCTGTTTAAATTTTCTGTTTCTTCTTGAGTCAGTTTTGGTAATTTGTGTTTTTCTAGAAATTTGTCTACCTCATCTAGCTTTTCTATTTGTTGGCATGTAATTGTTCATAGTGTTATATTCCTTTTTAACTTCTGTAACACTGATAGTAAGTCCCCAAATTTCATTTGTGATTTTAGTTATTTCTGTCCATCTTCTCTCCTTACTAGTCAATCTAGCCAAAGGTTTGTCAATTATGTTGATATTGTCAAAGAAACAACCTTTTATTTCCTTGATTCTCCGCTGTTTTTCTCTTTTGTTTATCTCTGCTCTAATCTTACTGTTTCCTTCCTTCTGCTAGCTTTTCTTTCTTTTGCTAGTTTGGTTTGCTCTTCTTTCTCTTGTTTTTTTGTTTGTTTCTTTTTGGTCTTTCTCTAGTCTGTCCGTCCCTCCGTCCCTCCCTCTCTTGCTTCCTTCCTCTTTATTTTGTTTGCTCTTCTTTCTCTAGTTTCTTCTTTTCTTCTCTCTCTTTTTTTTTTTGGAGATGGAGTTTCGCTCTTGTTGCCCAGGCTGTAGTGCAATGGTGTGATCTCAGCTCACCACAACCTCCGCCAACTGGGTTCAAGCGATTCTCCTGCCTCAGCCTCCCGAGTAGCTGGGATTACAGGGACCCACCACCATGCCTGGCTAATTTTGTATTTTTTAGAGGCAGAGTTTCTTCATGTTGGTCAGGCTGGTCTCGAACTCCCAACCTCAGGTGATCTGCCTGCCTCGGCCTCCCAAGTGCTGGGATTACAGGCATGAGCCACTGTGCCCGGCCTCTTTTCTTTTCTTTTATTGGTTCATTCATACAGACAAGGTCTCACTATGTTGCTAGGCTGGTCTTGAGCTCCTGGGCTGAAGTGATGCTCCCGCTTTGGCCTCCCAAAGTGCTGGGATTACAGGCATGAGCCACTGAGCCTCGCCTTCTCGTTTCTTTTTTGTTTCTTTTTTTTCGTGAGATGGAGTTTCACTCTTGGTGCCCAGGCGGTAGTGCAATGGCGCAATCTTGGCTCACCACCACCTCCGCCTCCTGGGTTCAAGCAATTCTCATGCCTCAGCCTCCTGAGTAGCTGGGATTACAGGCATGCACTGCCACACCCGGCCAATTTTTGTATTATTAGTAGAGACGGGGTTTCTCCATGTTGGTCAGGCTGGTTTCGAACTCCCGACCTCAAGTGATCTACCTGCCTTGGCCTCCCAAAGTGCTAGGATTACAGGCGTGAGCCACTGAACCCGGCCTTCTCTTGTTTCTTAAGATGTATAATTAGGTTATTGATTTGAGATTGTTTTCCTTTTTAAAAGTAAGTGTTTACAGCGTTGTTTCCCTTTAAGTACTGCTTTTGCTCCATATGTTGTATTTTTGTTCTTGTTTGTCTTAAAGTGTTTTCTAATTTTCCTTATGATTGATTTCTTTTTTCTCTTTCTTTCTTTTTTTTTTTTAAGAGATGGGATCTCACTCTATGGCCCAGGCTGGAGTGCCCTGGCTTGATTTTGGCTCACTGCAGCCTCAACCTCCTAGTCTCAAGCCATCCTCCCACCTCAGCTTCCTGAGTAGCTGTAACTACAGGGTGCAGCACCACACCTGGCTTTTTCTATTTTTTATAGAGATGGGGGTGTCACTATGTTGTCCAGGCTGGTCTCAAACTCCTGACTTCAAGTGATCCTCCTGCCTTGACCTCCCAAAGTGCTGGGATTATAGGCTTGAGCCACCATTTCTTTTTTGAGCCTGGTTTCTTTTTTGACACATTGGTTGCTTAGGAGTATGGTGTTTAATTTCCACATATTTGTGAATTTTCCAGTTTTCTTTCACTTCTCGATTTCTAGCTTTGTTTCGTTGTGGTTGAAAAAGATACTTTGTATGATTTCAGTCTTTTAAAACTTTATCAAGACTTGTTTTGCGGCCAAACATACAGTCTGTCTGGGAGAATGTTCCATGTGTACTCGAGAAGAATTCTTGAATATATTCTGCTCTTGTTGGGTGGCATGTTCTGTACGTATCGTTGAGTCTAATTGGTTTAAGTCTTCTATGTCCTTATTGATCTCTCCAGATGTTCTACCCATTATTGAAAGTAAGGTATTAAAGTTTCTTACTATTATTGTGGAACTGTCTATTTCTCTCTTAAATTGTGTTGTTTGTATCATATTTTGATGTTCTGTTGTTCGGTGTGTATATGTTAGTAATTGTTAATCAACATATAATGTCCTTCTCTGTCTCTTGTTACAGTTTTTATCTTAAAGTTTATTTTGTATGATGTTAATATAACCACCCAGCTCTCTTTTGGTTACTATTTACATTAGATTGCTTTTTTTATCCTTTCACTTTGAACCTATTTGTGTCTTTGGATTTAAAGTGATTATTTTGTAAGTAGCATATAGTTGGATAATACTTTTTAATCACTATCTGCTTTTTAAGTAAAATTCTATTGGAACACAAACACACCTATCTGCTTGTATGTTGTTTGTGGTGGTTTTCATGCTGCGGTGGCAGAGTTGAGTCATTGCAACACAGACTATATAGCTTGCAAAGCCTTAAGTAGTTACTGTCCAATTCTTTCCAGAAAAGGTTTGCTGATCCCTGGTCTAGAATGTCTTTTATAGTTTCCCTGGTTATAGTTAACTGCAAATGGTCCTGTTCAGCAGTAGTCTGGTGAGATTCGTCACATGTAGCCTGTTTTGTCTCTCCTGAAGCTTGTGAAATGCAGTTCTTAGAGCATATCTGAGCACCCTCAAGGCCCCTTTCGGCTGAGAGGAGAAGCAGGCTTCTACCTCTGAAGCTAGGGTGAGAGGCAGTTTGACTGGGATGTGGCCCCTTAATGGTAGCTTCATTTGTAGGGTGGCCAACTCTTTTGGTTTGCCTGGAACCAAGGCAGTTCCTGGAACATAGGATTTAGTTTTAACATCTGGAAAGCCTGGGCAAACTGGACAAGTTGGTCACCCAGCTGGCTGTTCAGAGTCTTACCTATGCCCCCTTACCCCAGTACCATTCAGGGAAACCCCCAGCTATGCGAAGCGGCGGCGACTGGCTGGCCCCAGTGGCTTGGCATCCCCTCGGCCTCTGCAGCGCTCAGCCAGCGATATCAACCTGAAGGGGGAGGCACAGCCAGCAGCTTCTCCTGGACCCTCGCTGAGAAGCCTCCCCCACCAGCTGCTGCTCCAGCGGCTGCAAGAGGAGAAAGATCGTGACCGGGATGCCGACCAGGAGAGCAACATCAGTGGCCCTTTAGCAGGCAGGGCCGGCCAAAGCAAGATCAGGTAGGAGGGGGCTGGCAGGCCCTGGAGGGGTTGGGAGGGTGGGGTGCCGGGACCTGAGCCAGGAGGAGCCAGCACCGGGAGGCAGAGAGAGGCCTGGTGGTGCCTAGCACCTGTGTAGTGATGGGCTAGGGCTTCCTGGTTGGGGAAGGGAAGAAGGCATCTCTGGAGGTGGGGACAGGCACATGCACGCTGATTTCCGGTTGGAGCTGGGCTTGCCATGAGGACAGTGGGCAGTTGAGGGAGCGTGTTAGGTGGAGAGGGTATGCTCCTACCTGTGATTTAGAAAACACACTGCATTGTCAGGCATGGCTGGGAAGAGTCAGGGCTGGTGGCCTGTGGTAAGGGGGACAGGGATGGAGTTGCCACTCCAGTAGGGCCCAAAACCTACAGGTAAGCCCCAGCCCTGTCCCCAGGGTATACTCATGGTTTCCCCCAGCCCTGGCACACCTACAGGACTCTGTGGCTTCTATTCTTTACCCTCACCCTGAGGCCTGGGTCCCTGAGGCAGGGATGCCTGGACCGGAGCCCACTGGCCTCTCTGGGCTGTGCATTGGGTGCTGAGGTGGGCGCACTGGCTCTCAGCCACTTTGTGCCTGGGCTTCTCATCAGTAAGTGGGAATAGTCCTACCTAAGTCATTGTCTTTGGGAAGCCTTCCAGAATGCCCTGGGCAGGTGAGGGATCACCTGGCAGAGTCTGGCAACTGCCGGTAAAAGCACCTGCCCTCCCTGTGCCTTGAAGGCAGGCACCGTCTTTGTCGTTTCCTAGTTTCATCAGAGCCAGGCACTGAGGAGGGTGTTTGGCAGACATTGTTGAGTGGAAGAGTTACATAAACAGTATGTTGTTGTCAGGATGGCCGCCGGCCTTTACAGTTCTGTCAGTCCAGGCCCGCTGTTGGGCTGAATGGCATGTGTATACTAGCTCCTTTAACCTTGACGAACGTACATGTTCATGCTCTATTAATACCATGTTACAGATGAGCGTCCTGGTACGCAGGTGGGGCCTGTGACGGGTCCAGAGTCACAGAGCTACGGATCAGCTTCACTGGGCCCCAGGTAGACCCAATCCCCAACTTTCTAAGCCTGAGTGTTCAGCAGAGGGCTCAGGGTGCAGCAGGGCCTATGGAAGGCGCCCCTTCCTGTGCTGCCGCCCCTGCTCTGCAGCCTGGTCTCAGCGATGTCTCCGTGTCTGTCTTTGCCTGGGCTTGTTGGACTCGCAAGGCTGGCTGTACTGCCCCAAATCTCAATTCTCCCCTGAAGCTTTCTTATAGACCCGCGGATTTTCTAAGGGCTGGGCGGCCCAGTGGCTGAAAGAACACATTCTGCATTCCGGATGTTTCCATCCCGCAGAAAGGCTGCTCCTGAGTTGGAGGCACGCGTTGCCACAGGCTCCTCCCTGCATTCATTTTTTGTACGTGTTCATTCATCCTTTCAGCAGACACAAAACTAAGACCTGCTGTGTGAGGGGCTCCAGCTCACCTGCTCTGTGGGGATGGCAGAATTCTGTTTTTTCCTTCCTCGCAAACATTTATTGGGTGCCTGGTGCGTCAGAGGTGGTGGGTCTCAGGAAGTTGACAGCCGAGGGCCCGGGCTAAGCAGCAGTTAGGTGGGCAGTGATCCCCTTATGGGGCTGCCCTGGTGAGTGGACAAGGGTCTGCAGCTCTCGGGAGGGGCTGAGGAAGTTCGGTGCCCCGAGGAGAGAAGTCACCCCCTGGGGGAGGCGAGGCTGGGCCCTGCACCGCGCGGGTCGCTGCGCCCTCTGTCGGTTGAGCCGGACCGGGACCCGACCCCCATCAGCCCCCCAGTATCACACGGGGCACGGCGGGGGAGTTTGGGCTGAGAGCCCGTCACTTAACAGCTGGCCCAGGGGTCAGGATGTTAGAGTAGTTCAGGTGTTGGCAACTGCGTGACGGACAGCCCACAGGAGGGGAAGGAGAGGTGCCCCGTGTGACTAGAGCGTAGCAAACTGCCAAGCCCGAGGGAGCCTGGCTCTTGGAAAAGCGGGTGGCTCTGGCCTGCCTGGGTACTAGGGAGCCACTGCAGGCTTCTGAGCAGAGCCCCAGTGGAGGAGTGAGAGCTCAGGCTCTACCCCAGTCTGGGAGTGGTCTGGGGAAGGTGGGCATCACGCAGTGGGCGTGGGCAGGGGCCGGTGTCCAGGACGAGGGGACCCAGGCCTAGAGGGGGACTGGGCACCCAGCGATCCGGGCCCTGGACCTGGAGGGGTGGGGGGGGCGCCCCTCCCTCCCGTTCACCGGCTCCAGGCGGCTTTGCTGGTGCCCGAAGCCCCCGCCCCATCCCCCGCTCCCACTAGGCTGCCCTGACCACCGTCCCGCGTCCGCGTCCGAACTCCCCCTCCCGGGGGTCGGCGGCGAGGGGAGGGCGGGAGGGAGGGCGCGAGGGCCGCCACCACCGCCCGCAGAGGGAGGAGCCCGGCCGTGGAGGAGGCGGGGCGCGGGGCGGCCGCGGCATGGAGCGAGCCTGGCGCGCCCAGGAGCTGTATTCGAATTCGAGCTCGGTTCCCCGCGCCCCCTGCGCCCCCCGCACCGCCGCCCCGGGGCCCGAAGCGGAAACTTTACAGCGCCGTCCCCGGCCGCAAGTTCATCGCCGTGAAGGCGCACAGCCCGCAGGGTGAAGGCGAGATCCCGCTGCACCGCGGCGAGGCCGTGAAGGGTGAGGGGCGCGGGGGGGCGCGGGGGGGCGGGCCCGGCGCGGGGAGGGGGCGGCGCCGCGCGCGGTGCTGGCCGGGCCGGGGCAGTGGCTCTGGGGTCTCCTCTGCCGGGGCGGCCCTGGGCCCTTGTGGGATCCCTGGTGTCACGGTGAAGGGCTCTGCCTGGGGAAGGTTCCTGCCGTGCGGGTCCCTCCGGTGCTCTGTCGTTCCGGGCTCCCTGTGTCACCACGGAGGCTCCTCTCTCGCCACGGGCGTTTCTGTGTCCCCGGGGGTCTCTGCCTGAAGGACCCTGTCCCATTACAGAGCTTCCTTGCATTGCGGGGTTCCCGTGGCACTTCTGCAGCTTCTCCATTGGAGGCCCCTGCGATGTGGGGGACCCTTGCCGTCGTGGGGTGTCTGTGACCGTCATGTGGGTGTTTGTGTTATGCAGGCTTCTGTCACCGGGGCTTCCTGTGTTCTGGGGGGATCGCGTGCCATGACAAACCCCTCTCATTCTGGGGGTCTCGGGGCCATCACTGGGCTCCTAGCCTCAGGGCCGGCTGAGGTGGAAACAGCCCAGCTGGTGCATCACGTGGCCTCACCCACTGGCCACAGCACGATGACCCCGAGCTCTCGGCAGTGACCCCTGGGTGGGTGACAGAGCCAGGATGGGGGTCGGTTGAAGGGGCTGGGGGAGCATGGTCAGCTGGGGGTGGGGGCAGCAGCAGGAGTGTGGCCCCTGCCCCTGCCTGCGCCCCTCCCCGAGTGTGTCCATCTGTGTGTCTCTCTGTCCCCCACATGCCCACCCTGTGCCGAGCCCATCTGTTCCTTTCTCTCTTCTGCGTGGATCCCAAAATCTTCCCAGGGAAAAAGCTGGGAGAAAGTGGGAAGGGAAGGAGGGAAAGGGCAGGGGGTGGGTGGGCAGAACCTGCTCCTGAGGTGGGGTAGGCGCCCAGCTCTGCTCCCCACTGACGGCCTGTCTGGCTTCTTCCTCCAGTGCTCAGCATTGGGGAGGGCGGTTTCTGGGAGGGAACCGTGAAAGGCCGCACGGGCTGGTTCCCGGCCGACTGCGTGGAGGAAGTGCAGATGAGGCAGCATGACACACGGCCTGGTGAGTGACCCCACGGCTCCCCGGGCAGCTCCCAAGGGGACCACCCCTTCCAGTTTCCCTTTGTTCTCTCTTGGTGCTAAATCCACATGGATATTCATAGAGAAAAGACTAGAGGTAAACTCAAACAAACACTCAAAGTAGATGCAAACTTGTGTACATGACACAGACACGTGTGCACACACTCTGCATATACTTGGGAACATGCGTGTATGTAACCTGACGCTTCACGTGCAGTGGAGACACATAGGACGTGTGTGACGGGGCCTCTGTCTGTGTGATCCCACATTGACTCCCAGTGACTTGCACCCCACCAGCACAGTCCTTCAGAAACACCAGGTGTGTGGAACGCATGATTCCTGCGTAGCTGGCAGACATGTAAGGAGGTCAGTGTGAGAAAAGAGGCGTTTTTCCAAAGTGGACAGATTGTCCAAGTGGGCAGAGCAGGCAGGCCCGGAGCAGCCAAGAGGAAATGAGGCCAGTTGGGCCTGGAGGTGCCCTGGTGAGTGCCCTGGGGCAGGGATGGTCTGAGGGCAGCAGGTGAGGCTGGGCTGGTCCTCAGCCTGCAGGGAGGATGTGAAGGTGAAGGCTGCAGCTCCTGGGTTGGTGAGTGGCTGCTGTCCAGCCCTGCTGACCATCTGGTCCTTTGGGGGCCCCCGGGCTGGAGCTGGGTGCGTGTCTTGGGGGTGCCCTTGCAAGGAACCCTCAGGGGTCCCGGGAGGCCCCCAGATCCATGCATGTGCTTCTGTCCTGGAGAGCTGGTGGGCCAAGCAAACCTCTCCTGAGTGATGGTCACTGGGGGCCATCGGTGGTGTGTCTGGATCAAGGGTGCATGCACCCTCCCTCTGCATGTGAAGGGCTCAGGCCTGGGGTTACTGTGTCCCCATCTCTGTGTCCCCACCTCTGAGAGTTTCCCAGCGACTCCACCCCTGTACGGCCTGGACCCCTGCCCTGTGCTGAGCTCAGCAGAGGCCCAGGGAGGCAGGAGCTTCGCCACTGACCTTTTCCTGGGCCGGTGCCCTTTCCTCCTTCCTTGGCCTTGTTCTGCCTTGCTCTGACTGGTGGCTTAGAGTGTGGAAGGGACTTGGCCCCCTGTTCTCAGCCCGCGGAGGGTGGATAGGGCAGGGTCCAGATGGGAAATGGTTTCAGAGATTTGGGCCCTGGTTCAGACAGTATGGGAGAGGGGAGGGGAAGGAGAGGTAGGGGGATCCACACCTGTGGCGGGAGCGGGTCTTGAGCTCCCCCACGTGGTGGTGAGGAAGGTTCTGGTTTGAGGACTGTGTGGAGTGAGGGGCATTTGGACCTACGTCTGAAGCTGACGGGGAGGGAGGGGGGTTTAGGCTGGAGTCAGAATTGGAGAGCAGCAAATGTTTTTTAGGTGTTTGTCATGTGCTGGGCCCTGTGCTGGGAGCCGGGATCACGGAGGCTCAGCTGGAAGCCTTGTGGGAGCAGTGGCTGTGACGGGGGCCGTGTGAGCGTGGGAGCTCCCTGGGCTGGCCTGAAGGAGTCAGAGAGGGCCTCAAAACAGAGGCATTGTCTGAGCTGAGTCCTCTAGGTGGTCAGCGGCTGGGGCTGAGGGGACAGCCGTGTGTGCAGGGTCCGTGTGGCGCTCTACAGCTGTGTGTCAGCACGGCCTGCTCTGAGTGCCTGGCACAGTTTTAGCACTTCTACACGTATAAGTCGTTGACTCATCCCAGCAGTCCCAAGAGGTGGGGCCACTTGTTGTTATTCCATTTCTAGGGGGTCACATGGCCCTGAGGGGCAAAGTCTTGTTTGCAACACAGGCAGCAAGTTCTATGTGAGTGAAACGCCTGCATGGGGTGAGGGGCGAGGCTGGTGTGGGGACCACGGGGTGGTCAGGTGGCATGGAGTCAAGTGACAGTGTGGCATCATGGCGGAGGGAACCCAGCCGCAGTGTCTGATTGTGCAGGTTGTGTAGGATCAAAGCCCGGGCTGGGCAGAGCAGAGCAATGGAGAGGAGGGTTCAGGTCTGGGCTCCAGCCAGCAGCCATGGTGTGTGTGACCTGGGGAGTGAGTGTCAGAGGTCCCGGGGTAGACGGGAGTATTTCATGAGTGGGCAGCGGGAGAGGGACCTGCGGAGGCTGCCTGCGAAGGGCAGGGAGTGGGAGCAGTGACAGTGCCCTCTGACCTTGGCTGCAGGCCCTGCTGGCCACACTGCGCAGAGCCTCTGCTCTGGGATCCCGGGGCCGAGTTCTGCCAGAGGCCAGAGTGCAGCCCAGGAACAGGAACCTGCTTCCAACAGGCCCAGATCTGCTCCCCCCACCCCCCAAAAAAATCCATTTCCGGGACTGGAGTGGGGACAGAAAAGGACTTAAAGGTTAGGGAGGGGACATAGTCCCTGTGCGTGCAGGGGCTGGTGCCCAGAGCCGGTGCCTGCTGTGGGATCGGGAGGCGAGTCCTGGTCACTTACCCAGCAGAGAGCAGTCTCCCACGGCACCTCCTGGCAGGCAGAGGGTGGAGCTGTGAGGGAGGGAATGGAGAAGCGAGGTCAGGTGTGTTCTGGAGGCCCAGCAGGAGCAGGCCCTGTGCCTTCCCTCCCCTCCCTCCTTCCCTTTCTTTGCAGTAAGGTCAGCACTTGGGTGGGTAGTAGGAGATGGCTGTGTTGGGCATTTTCTCTTCAGCTGGCTTTTATGTGTCTTATTAACAAAACTGGAAAAATGAGTTTGTGTTATGTAATCCATACAATTTGTTTGGTTGACAACATCTGAAAACAGGAGGCTGGTCAAGTGCAAGTGTGGCGGGTTCTTCAGCAGGCAGCACCATGACACTTCCGTGCCTCTGTCGACGTGGAGAAGGGTGTGATGGAGGAAAGGAGGGGTCTGATGCCCCACCTGAGTGGTGATGAGGCTTGGCCTGAGCTGGCCTTAGGTTCAGCGGGATGAGGGGTGCAGGTGTGGTTGGGGAATGCCAGGATAAGATATAGGTCATCAGAACCAAGGGGATCCTCCAAGTTGGATTTCTCTATTCTATATGGGCGGGCTTAGAGGGGGCTGTTGACTTACTGAGAGTCACACAACGTAGTAGCTGGGACCTGGAATCCAGCCCGATACTTTTTTGATATCTGTGCCTTCTGATAGAAATAGGCACTCTTTCCTCTTTCCGTCCGGCCACTGCTCCACCTATGTTTACAGCCATCTATCCTTTGACTCACCCACCCATCCCACCATCATCTTCTTAACCGTTGACTCACCAGCCAACCCAATCCACCACCCCTCCCTTCCTCCATCCATCCACCTCTCCACCTACCTGTCTACACACCCAGTCCATCCATCCATCTACCCATGTATCTGTCTGCTCTTTGACCTATCTACCCATGGCCCTCTCCTTCCCTCCCTCCATCCACTGGTCCAGTGCCTTTCAATCCACCCTTCTGTCCGTCTATCTCAGATGCACCTGTCCACCATTTACTCTCCTAGTCAGCATCCCTTCTGTCCGTCTATCTCAGATGCACCTGTCCACCATTTACTCTCCTAGTCAGCATGCAGAATGCCTGTGACGTGCCAGGTGCTGTGCTGGGTGCTAGGATCACAGAGATAAAGAACATGTGGCCCTTACCCTCAAGGAGCTCACAATTAGTGGGGGAAACAGGTCATCGAAAGCTGCAGGTTATCTTTCTGATCTCATTTCCTGCCACTCTCTCTAGCTCCCTCTGCTCCAGCTGCACAGGCTCTGAACTCTCTCAAATGCTGCAGGCTGATGCCTGCCGTGGGCTTCCCCTGACCACCCCCGCTCCTGGGAAGCCCTTTGCCCACATATCCACAGGCTGCTCCCCATCCTCAGCCTCTGCTCAGCCCTCCCGTGGGGGTGAGGCCTTTGCGTGCCTTTCTCTGCCCTCCCTGATCTGCTCGCTGGTCTCCTGAGCACTTGCCAGCATTCGCATGCTATGTCTTTATCCTCTGTTTATCCTGTCTCCCAGAACAGATTATAAACCCCACGAGTGCAGAGACTTTGTTCTCTTCTCTGCTGTATTTGCAGAGCTGGTACACAGTAGGAGCTCAATAAATACTTGCTGAAGGAAAACATGGATCTTGAGAAATGCTACCAAGAGAGGAAATGAGGAAGGTGCTGAGGGATGAAAGCGAGGCAGTGGTGGTGCTGCCTGTGGGGCCTTTGCGGTCCTGGAGAGTGGAGCTGCGGGGCTGGGAAGGCTGGTGGGTGGGGCTCGCAGGCAGCTGGAGGAGCTCGTGGGAGCAGAGAGGTCATGGCTGGAGGTGTGGCTCGAACCTTCAGGTCAGTGAGGGTGGAGTGGTGGGCAGACAGCTGGCTAGCTTGGTGCTGGCCATGTGGGACTTGAGATCAAGAGGACAGTTGGGGACCAAGCTCTGTGGGATGCATCGAGGTCAGGGCAGGGGACCCAGCCCACACACCTAGATCCCCTGCCCCACTCACAGTTAGTCTGAAGCAAGGGACCCCATGAGGTTGAGCATCAAGGAGCTATTGTGAAGAAGTTGGTGAAGACAGAACGCTGCTTCCATGCCAGCGCCTATAGGCACATAGCACGGCATTTGTACATGAGTGTGGGTAATGCAGATTCAGATGTGCACACACACATGCATGAACACACCTCACACGCACATGACGGCAGGTCACACAGACACATGAGCACGGCACTTGCACACAGTGGGCTCATATAGAGACACGTGCATGAGCACAGCATCTACACATGACCACGGATCTCTCACACACACACGTATGTGCACACCCCCCTCTTTGCTCGCAGCCTTGGGGCTCACTTACGCTCTGTGGACGGCTCTGGCCTTGTTTGGACTCCTGGTTCAGCAGCTACTTAGGAAAGAGATGAGCTGCTGCCCCCTCTTGGGCCCTGACCCACGGAGGTCAGAATTCCCTACATCATCCCCTCAGCCTTCTTACCTCTGGACCCAGGACTCCAGGATTTGGGGCCCCCTACTTCCATCTGGACACAACCAGGCCAAGGGGGTGTGTGTGGGCAGAGACTGGTGACCAGCATGGGTGAGGGCAGTTGAGGCAGGCCAGCTGGAGGCCACGACTGTCCATCAGCTCCCGATACTCCCTTCAGAAACGCGGGAGGACCGGACGAAGCGGCTCTTTCGGCACTACACAGTGGGCTCCTACGACAGCCTCACCTCACACAGGTACGTGCAGGGACCCTGGCTGGCGGGAGCATGCATGTGGGACGTGGGGCAGGACCTGCAGTGTAGAGGGAGGCCAGGTATGAAGAGGTCAGAGGAGGGCAAGGGAATGTGCCTGGCCGACCTCTCTTCTGCTGCCCGGCCTGTCAGTCCCGGGGTGACTGCAGGGTGGACTGTGGCCGGCCAACCTCGAGGCAGGGCTTACCTCACTCCTCCCTGCTTTCCTTCATCAGCGATTATGTCATTGATGACAAAGTGGCTGTCCTGCAGAAACGGGACCACGAGGGCTTTGGTTTTGTGCTCCGGGGAGCCAAAGGTAATGGGGAGTGGGTGCCCGGGGGTCAGGCAGGCAGGGGCTGCACACCGCTCAGGGATGTCTTCAGCTTCTTGCTTCTGCCCCCAACTCTGCTCTGCCCCACACTCCCTCCCTGCCTTGCCCCTGCGGCTCCCGCTTTTGGCCCCGGCTTTCCTGGTTCCTCTGCTCGGTCGCGACCGTCGTGGTTTGCAACGTCCCGGCCCAGGCGGCAATTCCTTCCCTTCGTTGTTTTCCACTGTCTTTGCTCTAGAGTCTAACCGAGTGGGGGCTTTTCTGGCATGGGCAAAGGGAGTTTTGCAGAGGGTCATGTCTAGGATCCTTGGGCCGGCTCGTCCCTGCGCTGTGGCTCCCCGTGGCCCTCCCCCAGCCCCGGGTCACTGCCCCCCGCAGTCATCTCTTTCCTGTGCTGAGCCACTCGGAGGTTGCTGTGTGGCAGCCGCCCCCACCCGAACCTAGCTGGTGAAGCGCCTTCCTAATTGCCCCCCGCAGCAGAGACCCCCATCGAGGAGTTCACGCCCACGCCAGCCTTCCCGGCGCTGCAGTATCTCGAGTCGGTGGACGTGGAGGGTGTGGCCTGGAGGGCCGGGCTGCGCACGGGAGACTTCCTCATCGAGGTGAGGTCGTTCTGGCCGGTGCTGCCCAGTGGGATGCTGAGCCCTGAGCCCTGTGGTGGACGTGCCTGGGGCGTCCCCACCCAGCTGCCTGTCTATCCCAGGTGAACGGGGTGAACGTGGTGAAGGTCGGACACAAGCAGGTGGTGGCTCTGATTCGCCAGGGTGGCAACCGCCTCGTCATGAAGGTTGTGTCTGTGACAAGGAAGCCAGAAGAGGACGGGGCTCGGCGCAGAGGTGAGGGGTCACGCTTCAGGCCTCTGTGCCCAAACTTTCCCCTGACCTTAGACCTTTGACTTCAGGCCCACATTCCTCTTCCCATCCCTGACCCCCAACTGCTGACATCAGATTCCTGAACCTCAATGAACCACCCACACGTGTGGGCTGGGACCCCTCCCGATCCCTGGTGCTAGACTGCCAGTCCTGTCCCCTGGCCTGAGGCCTTTGACCCCTGACCCCTGACCTCAGGCTGCCCCTCCTCAGATCCCTGCCCCCTCCTTCCCGGCGTTCCCCCAGCCCCTGGCGTGGCAGAGCCCTCCTTCCCTACACCGCCAGCAGCTGCCTGGAGGCCGGGGTTGCCATAGCAACTGTGAGGTTGACGCTGCCGCGCTGCTTATTGTCGGAGGGAAGGGGGAGGCGGCACCTGAGGGAAGAGGAAAAGCGTCTTCTCCCCGCGACGACGCGGCACAGCCTGGGCCCAGGAGGCTTTGCCGGCCAGGCCCAGCCCAGGCCCGTGGCTTGGCTGACCACACCCTGGCCCCACAAGGGGCAGTGGCCACCCGGGCCTGGGGGGAGCCCTGGAGCAGCAGGAGCCCCGCCCGCAAGGAGACCCCTCCCAGCCCCCACCCCATGGCTCTGGTGCCCCCTTGCTTAGCCCTCGAAGCCTGCAGGGTGGGTGCTCAGGCCAGAGCCAGCCGGCACCGTGACCCCCGCCAGCACCCTTGATCGTCTCCTGAGGCCCTGATTCTGGGGGTTCCCAGGGCCCCTGAGGCCCTGACCGCCCGCCCCCCCCCCCCCGCACTCCCTGAGCTCCTTGAGCCATGAAGAAGTTTGCGTCCAGCCGTAACCTGAACAAGATCCTGGCACAGTGCGACTCATCCTCGCGGGAGTACGAGGAGATCCAGGCGGTGGAGCGCAAGTGGCACCTGCACCTGGCCACGCCGCGCCGCCTGCTGCTGGACAGGAGGTCCAAGGCCTCCCTCTTCTTTGCAGCCCCACCGCCCCCCAAGAGGGCCCCCAGCACCACACTGACCCTGCGCTCCAAGTCCATGACAGCTGAGCTCGAGGAACTTGGTGAGTGGCGGGGGTGGCGGTGGAGGTGGACGCAGGTGGACGGTCCATGATGGGCAGACAGGGCCGGGAGACACAGGTGGTACGGGAGGGCAGGCGGTCCAGCCAGAGGGTAGGAAGGACAGGTGGGTACAAGAGCAGGTCAGAGGTGAATGGGTGGGTGCTGGCGCGATGGGGAAATTTGGTGCTTGTGGGGTGAGGAGAGGGTGGCATGTGGAAGGGGTGAGATGTGAGAGGCTGGGGATGGACAGTGGGGTGTCCAGGACAGATGACGGGGAGCAGGGCCTGGCCCACCAGTATGTTTGCATGTGTGTGCATGTGTGTGCGTGTGCTGCCTCTGGTTTTCCACGTCTCCACTTTGACTTTACTCCTGCATTTCATCCAAGTGAGGAGAGAGCGGTAGTGAGGTGACCAGGGTCTGCTGCTGGCTCTGCCAGGCACTGGCTGTGTCAGCTCTGTGTTTATTTTACCCTCTTGGTGACTGTGCACTCATTGACAGGTGGCCCTGCTGACCCCACAGGCCACAGGAGTACTGTCGGTGGGATGATGGGGCAGGGCCTCGAGCGCGGCAGGAGGGGAGCAGGAGTGTGTTGGGGTTTGATGGGGCATGTTCTGGGCACAAGCCCTGGTTGACCATCAACAGCCTCTTCATGGGCAGGTCTTATATATGTGTCCATTAACAACCTTGTCATGTGCACGTCCAGATATACTTGATCATGTCCTGACGTGACAGTCAGTAGCCTCTTCATGGGACTGTCCCATTACGTGTGACCGTTGTCCTCACTGTGGGTATGTGCTATACATGTGGCCATCAACAGCCTCGTCATGGGCATGTCCCACTGTACGTGACAGTTGACAGGCTCTTTCTTTCTTTTTTTTTTTCTTTTTTTTTTTTTTTGAGACAGTTTCACTCTTGTTGCCCAGGCTGGAGTGCAATGACACGTTCTCGGCTCACTGCAACCTCCACTTCTTGGGTTCAAGTGATTCTCCTGCCTCAGCCTCCCAAGTAGCTGGGATTACAGGCACCCGCCACCATGCACGGCTAATTTTTTTTTTTTTTTTTTTGTATTTTTAGTAGAGGCGGGGTGTCACCATGTTGGCCGGGCTGGTCTCGAACTCCTGACCTCAGGTAATCTGCCTGCCTCGGCCTCCCAAAGTGCTGGGATTACAGGCGTGAGGCTCTTTCTTTCTGTGATCTGAGCCCAGTTCTGTTCCCAGACTTAACTCTGCCTCTGGTCATAGAAGGAACCCCAACTTTGGTCCTAAACTGAACCCTGAAGTCCTGGCCACAGGAAGGGACCCCATTCTGGTTCTAGGCTGAGCCCTATCCCTGGCTTCAGTCTTGGTTCTACCCCAGCCATAGAAGGAACCCTTTTCCTGGTCCCCAGAATTATCCCTGACCTCACTCATGAACCAAGCCCTGACCCTGTCCTTGCCACAGGCTGAGCTGCCCCATGCCAAGCAGGTGGTCTTAACTGCAGTTTAGTTCAGGGTGGAGAACAGCTACCAACGTCCATTGGGCTGACGTGGTCAGAATTTTCACCATAGCTATTCCAAATAAAATAAAACCCAAAGAAAAAAACAAAAAACCCCATGTAGATAATTCAGAATGAAAAGGAGAGAAACCAAAGCCAGAGGCTTCCATAGCTCGTTATCTAGTACGCAGGGGCAAGGGGTTGGGGTCCTGAGGCCCCCACAAGGCTGGGAGACGTGGCTGGACCTGTGAGAAGCGGGAAGGTTAAAAACCAAGCCCAACCACTGGAATTAGCTTCGAAAGAACTGGAAATCAGAGAAGAATATGAAAAACATTAAAATAAAGTAAATTGTCACAAAGATTAAAAGAACTAACAGAACTAATGAGAGAATAGGACAGAACAAACAAGCAAAAAAAGAATAAGCACATTTTAGAATGATTCTTTTTTTTTTTTTTTTTTTTTTAGACTGAGTCTCGTTCTATTACCAGCTGGAGTGCAGTGGCGCGATCTCGGCTCACTGCATCCTCCGCCTCCCGGGTTCAAGTGATTCTCTTGGCTCAGCCTCCTGAGTAGCTGGGATTACAGGCGCACAACACCACACCCAGCTAATTTTTTGTATTTTTAGTAGAGATGGGGTTTCACCATGTTGGCCAGGCTGGTCTCGAACTGCTGACCTTGTGATTCACCTGCCTCGGCCTCCCAAAGTGCTGGGATTACAGGCGTGAGCCACTGCGCCCAGCCAGAAGGATTCTTAAAGAACTGTTATTGAAACAAAAAGTGTAGTCACTGAGATAAAAAAGAAAGCCATGCCTGGGATAAACAGTACACTAGACCCAGGTGAAGAAAGAAACAGCAAGTTAGAAGATAAATCTGAGGTTACCCAGAATATAGCACAGAAATATAAGGAGATAGAAAATATCAAAGAGCAGTTAGGACACACACACACAAAAATCACATAGATAATTCAATGGGACTATTGGGAAAATCCCAGCATCTACCTAATGCAAGGCGTGGAAGCAAAAATAAAATGTTGCCTGGAGGCAATATTTGGAGATGAGATGGCTTAAGAATTTCCGAAAGTTGAACAAAGACATGAGTCTTCAGTTTAAAGAAATATAAGTCTCAGCAAGGAAATAAAAACAAATCTGTATCCACATCTTTCATAGTAAAACTGTAGAATGCTGTGAGCAAGCAGAAATCTTTAAAACAATGAGAGAGGCTGGGTGCGGTGGCTCATGCCTGTACTCTCAGCACTCTGGGAGGCCAAGACAGGTGGATCACTTGAGTCTAGGAGTTTGAGACCAGCCTGGGGAACATGGCGAAACCCTATCTCTACTAAAAATACAAAAATTATCCTGGCATGGTGGTGTGTGCCTGTGGTCCCAGCTACTCAGGAGGCTGAGGTGGGAGGATTGCTTAAGCCTGGGACGTGGAGGTTGCAGTGAGCCAAGATCATGCCAGTGCACTCCAGCCTGGGCAACAGAGCGAGACCCTGTCTCAAAACAAAACAAAGCAAAAAATGATGAGAGAGAGAGAGAGATGGGCTGCTGGATGTCTTAGACGGGAGCAGTGGTCCAACTGACAACAGACTTCTCATCAGCAGTGGCAGATGACAGTAGATGATGGAAGAAGAGCTTCAAAGTGTGGAGTCAAAATTCTTTTCCACCTAGAATTCTATACCCCGCTAATCCTGCTCATTCAGGAGTGAGGCAGAGAGGCTAATCCTAGACCTCTGGCACTCGGGTCATGAGGGTCCAAGGTCAGTCACGGGGAGCTGACCTGTCAATTGAAGATCCAAACTGATCAATAAGCCAGCACCAGTAGGCAGCTGGGTCCCAGGATTCTCCTGCCAGAGGCTGTCACATAGCCACAGTCAGCTGCATGTTCAGAAGGGACTCTTCTATTCAGCACCACGGGGCTTTTGGGCAGCCTGAGATCCGTAATCCTGGGACCCAGGGACTCTGCCCTATGGAAACGGAAGGACTGCGCTTTGCTCTCTGGGCTTTTCTGCCTGAAGAAACTGGTGAATGAAGACGCTCCTTTCCCTCCCCTCTGGGCTGAGTGTTCCCTCTTCTGCAACAAGCCTCAGGACAGGTTGCTGGAGTCACTTTGCAGAGCCCGGTCTTCCAGAGGAGTTGCTCACAGCTTCAGGCCACCATAATTTTCCAGGCTTTTTTCTGAGCAGAGTCTGGGGGAGGATGAAGGGACAGCTTAGCGCAGAGCCTCTACCCACACTTCTGGAGCTCAGGAAGCCACCCTGTCCCCAGAAGACAGCTGTCCTGGGAAGCCAGCAGGGCTTCTGGAAGTCCCCTCTGGAAATGCCTGATTTGAGGACGCCATGCCAGCATCAGGGTTTCCCCAGGTACCTAAGGGACCATCCCACAACCCAGTGTTTTTGCTTTCAGAAGATAGAAATGAGGCCTGTTGGTCACTGCTGGCATGAACACATCAGAACTGCCTCACACTGTCAAGAGCTATTAGAGCCCTTTAGGATCCATAGTCTATCGAGAAGGTGCCTGGACACCTAAAAAGAAAAGAAAGTGAGGTGTCAGAGAAAGCAGGTGCAAGTCGGAGGCTCCTGTCCAGGTGGCTGTTTGCTGCTCGGAGGATGTGGGAGAGGCATGGCCCTGTTGGAGGAAGGGGAGGGAAGGGGTATCCTGTGGGGGAATGGGGTGAGCAAAGGCTGGTGCCTGGAAAATGGAGGGTTGCAGAGCTGGGAGTGAGAGGAAGGGGCTGGGTGGGGACCCTCCTGAGATAGGTGGTGAGAGAGAGAAGAGGGCAGAACACCCCTCCTCCCCTCAGCACTGGGGGCTCCTCATGGTCGCCACATGCATGTCTGCTCGGTTTGTACCAGGAATGTGCTGGGGCCACAGGTCAGTGGAGACCCAGGCCAGGGAAGGCCCTGTGGCGGGTCCAAGCCCTTCCTGTGTATTCACGTTCCCGGGAGAACTCTGGACTTCCCTGTAATTTCTGGGCCCCTTTTTCTTTTGTGATGAGAACATCAGGGTAGGTGCCACACCCAGCATCTATGTGAGTGGCCTTGTCCTGGAAAAGGTTTCTGTGCCAAACACACTTGCCCTGCCTTTTAAGACCGACTTTGAACAGAACACAGAGGTGACCACCTTAATTTTCAGCGACACCTGAACTTGTTTTCTATGGGGTTTTGCCTTTTTTCTGAACAAACGTTTGACTGAGCCAAGCATGATGGAGTTGTGCATATCTGTGTGTGTGTGCGTGTCTGTGCGTTGGTGAGCGGACACGCGCTGTCTGCACCTGCGTGCATGCGGCACACATGTCTGTGCGTGGGTGAGTGGACACGTGCTGTGTGCACCTGCATGCGTGTGGCACACGTGTGTGCATGGGTGAGCGGATACGCACTGTGTGCGCCTGCATGCGTGTGGCACACATGTCTGTGCGTGGGTGAGCAGACGCGCTGTGTGCACCTGCATGCGTGTGGCACACGTGTGTGCGTGGGTGAGCGGATACGCGCTGTATGCACCTGCGTGCATGCAGCACACGTCTGTGCGTGGGTGAGCGGATACGCGCTGTGTGCGCCTGCATGCGTGTGGCACACGTCTGTGCGTGGGTGAGCGGATATGCAGTGTGCGCCTGCATGCGTGTGGCACACGTGTGTGCGTGGGTGAGCGGATACGCGCTGTGTGCCCCTGCGTGCATGCAGCACACATGTCTGTGCGTGGGTGAGTGGACATGCGCTGTGTGCACCTGCATGCATGTGGCACACACACACAAGTCCCTGCTTGTGGTTGTTTCCTCCTTGGCTTTCAAGGCATGTACCAACTGACTCCAGAGTTGGGCAGATTTGCTATTCACGGTCTGATAAAGAGGTGTAGGCTGGGGGCAGATTTGGGAGGTCATGGTTTTTGGGGGAGGTGGTGGTGAGAGGGATGGGGTGGGGAAATGAGTGTGGATAATGGGGCCCGGGTGCCGAGCCTGCCTCTTACTCCCTTTACTCTGTTTCTTGATTCCAAGCCTCCATTCGGAGAAGAAAAGGGGGTGAGTCATCTGCCTGTGTCCCCAGGGCCTTGGCTTTGCCTGACCCCTGTCTGGGGGAGTGCTGGTGTGTGAGGAGGTTCCAGCGCAAGTCAGGGTGGCCTGGAAGCCTGGGCTGCACCCTCCTGTTGGCCTTCTCCCTGGGCATCTGGTAGGGGCATGAGAGAAGGGCCTGCAAGGATGGATGGGGAGTTCCCAGGGGTGTGACCCTCTGAGACTGTGATGGCCTTGGGGGCTCAGGTGAGCCTGGGGCCTGTGAGCTGTGCAGATAGCCTGATGGAGGCAGCCCGTGGGGAGGAGCTGGGAGAGCCCCGTGGAGGCCACTGCATGCACCATGGCCCGGACAGCAGGAGGGAAAGGGCTCCGAGGGTCCCAGAGGGGGAGCTCTAGGGAGCAGGGAGACTGGGCCGTGTTGGCGTGCACGTTGCTTCTTTCTGCTGGTCCTCTCGGGGCCTGTGCTTGGGTTGTGGGACCTACTCCCGTGCTGGTTGGTTGTAGGGCCAAGCCCAGAGCTGATGGTCCCTTCAGAGCAGGGGTCTGAGTCCCACAGCACTGGGGAAGGAGCTTGGAGCTCCCCTGGCCAAAGACCCCAGGCTGTTGACTACCCTCCTGAACCCCCGTTCAGGCCTCCCTCTACCCTTTGGGGCTGCTCCCTGTATGTCCTTTATGTTCAGCCTGGTTGCAGGGGAGGGCGCATTCAGGTGGGGACAGTCACCTGGGCCTGGGTACTGAGGTCCACTGTCTGGTGAAGTCCTGGGACCCGGCTTCCGGCAGCCTCCTCTGCCTCTCGGGTGGATGGGAATCAGGGCCCAGACAGAGGCTTGAGGTGGCTTTCTCCACCCAGGCCTGTATATTTGCTCCACGTCCGTGTACCTGATGCCCATCCCTCCCTCTCTCTCGACCCACTGGGCTTTCCCTGGGTGAGGACACATCTGCCAGGCCCTTGGCCCAGCCCTCTTGAGGTCCCCTTGCTGCCTCTTGCCCCAGCCCAGGTGAAGGGCTTCCCCAGTGTCTTCTCAGGTATTAAAAACAGGTGACAAGGTCTCCTCCAGTGACCTTTTCTGCATGCCTTTGGGGCAGACATACAAGCTATTTCTGGAATCTTCTGGCTCTGCCCTCTAGCTCGTTAGTGGGGCTCCCAGGGTGCTGTGTTGCAGCCCAGGTGCTGCTCCAGTTGTGGAAGAAGTGATGGCTGGTTGATCATCCCGCAGGCTGGGGCCCTGTTGATCAAACAGCTGCAAACCCAGCTGTGTCCTGCTGTGCACCCAGAGGGCCCTGGGAGTGAGCGGGTCCACTTGGTTCCTGATGGGCTTTGTTTCCCTTAATTATCTAAAATTATTTATTTAAGAATATATCCTCTAATATTGGGGGGAGATTTATGTCAACCTCATCAGTTTGTAATTTGCAGAATTCTTGATGAATCCTTTCCCTTTTGAAAACACTTCTCACCCGGCTCCAGCACCATCGCCGGATGACCAGAAACAGCTGCTCACTAAACGTTATGTGCGTCCCGCTGTGGGTCTCTGGGATGGGTCTTCCAGACCTAGAGAGACAGCCTCTCCTAGCCCGTGGCTCAGGCGGCAACGTGTCTCCCATGATGCTGAGCCGTGTGTGCCTCACGGAGTTTTCTCTCCATTCATATCTTTACTTCTGCAGTTTCCGGGGAGTATGGTGCTTAAGTCTCATCTCTTACTTCCTAGTCAGAGATTTATGGCAATTTCGCTTCAGTTTGCTCCTGGGTTGGATAAGGGTGATGATAAAATCCTCGTGTAGTTGTGGGATGAGAGGAGTGGTTTGCATAAAGTCCCGCATACTCTAGAAATCACCAAGAACTTAACAGATGGTGGCAATGGTGACTTCAACTCCCAAAAAGAAATCATTCACTTCATGACAAAAGCAAATGAGAAGTCCCCTCAAACCAGCAGCCCCTGGTCTGTACCTGGGCCCCTGTCACCTGGTGGCACTGGGAGCTGTGCACAGGCCCAGATATCTGCAGTTGGAGCCTGTTTTGCTGGTAAACTCTTGTATCGTTCAGGACACAGGCTGGGCGCTGATGGAACACAGAGAACAGTATTTGCTCTGTTCTGCAGACCCGGAAGCTGTCTGGGGAGATGGGGCACACAGACATGAATTGTACTGAATTGTGTCCAGTGCCAGCACAGTTGTAAGCCTTTCTTCTGTGCTAATTCTCACTAGAGACACGTGAGCGAGCACTGTTTTTATGCCTGTTTTATCAATGAGGACACAGAGGTCACAAAGAGGTTATGTCAGGACAGAGTCAGTGTACAGGGTGGGTCTGGTCTGGGTTGGGTACAGGACAGTCTTGGGGAGTTCCTTCCTTCCAGCAATGCTAAGCTTGGGGAGTTCCTTCCTTCCTTCCAGCAATGCTAAGCAGATTGCAGAGGTAGAATCAGCAGGTGCTGTGAACAGCTGCAGATTGGAGTTGGAAGGAGTAGGAGGTGTCCAGTCTGACCGTTGAAATTCTCCAACAAGGGGCCAAGACAAGAGTGAAAGGTGCCAAGACAAGTGTGGCCAGACAGTGGTCCCTCTAGGGTTGGCATAGCCCCAAAGAGTGGAGAAGGGCTTGGGGTTGGGTGCAGCCTGAGTGATGGGTGGGGTGCAGTGGGGCTGCTGAATGAGAGGGCCGGTGCAGCAGCCAGGTGGACATGAGTGCTGCCCCAGCCCTTGCTGCATGCTGCACGCACTGGTCCTCAGTGGACCCACAGGGGGCGAGAGCTGCTTATGTCCTGGGGGAGCCATCCAACCAGGGCTCTGATGGTCCTGAGATACACGTATTAGTTTAACAGTTTCCAAGTCACTTTGATCTTCTGTGGAAACCTGCTTGTACATCAGGGTCTGTCCTCGGGCTGTGACCCGCTGTGAACAGCTTCCCTTCCAGTGCGGTACAGATAGCCAAGAGTGGCCTGTATGTGCTGAGAACAGTGACAGGACGAAGGGAAATGGAGGGAAATCCAGGGAGACTGTGGTCTCTGAATCGTTTGTCTGTCCTGTGCCCTGGTCTTCTCCCTCATGGTCAGAGTGGCCTTTCCTTAAGTGAGGTCCACAGGGTCACCTGGAGTCTCCTTGAGGCTAGAGAGGCTGCCTGGGGTGGGGTCTGAGTTCTGGGGTGAGGGCCTTGTCTTGGGAGCCTGGGGTGGGAGCTCAAGGAGGGAGGGGAGCGGTGGCCTCTGTCAGCATCACGGGTGGCCGGGTTGGGGAGGACATGGCAGTGGGGCAGGAGGTGGCCCAGGCAGCTGAGATGGAGCCTCCTTGCTGTGCAGAGAAGCTGGACGAGATGCTGGCAGCCGCCGCAGAGCCAACGCTGCGGCCAGACATCGCAGACGCAGACTCCAGAGCCGCCACCGTCAAACAGAGGCCCACCAGTCGGAGGATCACACCCGCCGAGATTAGCGTAAGGGCCACGGGCGGCTGGGAGCGCTGGGTCGGGCAGGCATGGGGGTCAGACTGTCCTGGGCCCTCTTGACGGAGGTGAGAGCCTATCATGTGGACCCCTCTCCAGAGGGGTGTGTGCACCCCATGGCCTCTCTCAGAGACTCTTGGGGCTGTCTCTGCCCCCTAAATGGCCACAGCTCAGCACCTGCTGGGTTTGCTCTTGTAGCTTTTGGTGCCTCTGCCTTCAGGCAGTCCCTGTCTCACGCCTGAGACCACCAAGGTACCCCAGCTCCGCTGAGAACACGACAAAGCATGTCTCTGTTCCCTGCCCACTTGCCAACCCGGCGCCTTCTAGGCTCCTCCCCCACCCTCACCCAGGGTCGGCCAGGGTCTGCACCCACCCTGCCCAACACCGTCTACACTGTACCACCATCTGCACTGCCCACACAGCCCAGGCTCCAATGGGCTGCATCCTCTGCTCCCTGAGGGCAGAGTCCAGACGTGATTCCTGGGTCCAGGCACCCACAGGCACTAGTGCCATTGGAGTGAGAGCGTGGGGTGTCTCACCTCTGGCTTAGGAGGAGGACTGGGGGCCCCCAGTGCCCTGGAACCTCCATATTCCCCTCCCTGACCCCCACAGTCATTGTTTGAACGCCAGGGCCTCCCAGGCCCAGAGAAGCTGCCGGGCTCCTTGCGGAAGGGGATTCCACGGACCAAGTCTGTAGGTATGGCTGCGCTGTGGGGCTGCATGGGGTGGGGAGGAACGGGGCTGGGGCCGGCAGGGTGGACTTGGGTTTGAAGGACACTGCCTCTCTCTGCCCATAACTGGGGTTTCCAGTTTCCCTCTCAGTCCTGTCTCTTCCTGGCCCCAGCTAAAGGATCTCATACGTTGATGGACATGTGGGGATTAGGCCTTCCCCAACCCAGAGCTTTCCCCCGGCAGCCGACACTCCCTGTCCAGTGGGCACCGCCCCCCATCGCCTCATCCCTCCCATGGGCAGTCTCATCCCTGTCCCCAGCTGCCACTCCCTGTCCACTGGGCACCCCCACCTCCCCATCACCTCTCATCCCTCCCATGGGCAGCCTCATCCCTGTCCCCAGCTGCCACTCCCTGTCCACTGGGCACCCCCACCTCCCCATCACCTCTCATCCTTCCCATGGGCAGCCTCATCCCTGTCCCCAGCTCAGCTGCCTCCATCGCGGTTGCTCCCTTGCAGCCCAAGTGCATGTGAAGTTTCTGACCCTCAAACCCCCTGAACTTGCCTCTCCCCTACTTCTCCATGTATTGCTGTCTCCCCCCTTCACAGCCAGTTTTCCCCAAAAAGTCACCTCTACTGTCCATCTTGTCTCCCGTCCCCCACCGGCTCCTCAGCCTGCGGCAGACTTCCTCTCTCCATACCCAAATTGAAACTGCTCCCACCAGGGTCACCGGCGGCCTCCAGGGCCTTCCTCCCCATGGATGCATGGCCAGCACTCCTGCTGACCTCAGCTGGCATTTGGTTTCTTTGCTCCTTCTTCCGTGAAACGCTCCTCCCCAAAGCTTTAGGACAACACTTACTGGTTTTCCCCTCCTTTCTCAGATGGCACCTATTTCAACCCTGCCGCCCCAGCCTCCCAAATATGGGACCTTTTCAAGGCTGTGTCTTCAGCCTCCTTCCCCTCTGTGCCTCACCACTCCCCAGCCACCATCACACTCCACACTCACCGTCTCCTTTCCTGACCCAGATGGGGACATGTAACAAGCCCTGCCCACTGTGCATCCCTCCAGACATCCACTCTCCCGTCCCCTGCCCACCTGTGCATCTGTCCACCCACACACCTGCCCACTTGACCGTCCGTTGTCCATACAAACCCCAGCACACCTCCCATCTGTTACACATAGGAGTAAACCTCTCAGCACTTACTACGGGCTGGACACTGAGCATTTAATACTTAGAATAACCATATTGAGGTTGAGACCACTAGTACCTCCATTTTACAGATGAGAAAACTGAAGCAAGGAGGGTAAATGACCTGCCCAAGATCACACAGCTGCCCAAACTCGGATTCCTCACCTGCCTCAGGACCCTGCCAATTTGTGTTCACACAAGGCCGATCCTGGGCCAAGTCTGGGGCTTGGTTAGGGAATGTGACGTGTGCAGAGAGCTCAGCGGGCACATTGTGGGTGCCAGGGCTCACGGACCAATGGAGCCCACTGGGGGGCTCCAAGCACACCTGGTGTCACAGAAGGCTGTGTGTGTCGGGGTGGGGGTACTTTTGAGCTAAGATGTGCAAGATAAATGGGAGTTTCTGGGCGATAATGGGGTGAACTGACAGAGCAGTGTGGAAAAGGCATATGGGTGTGTGACCTGGTCCCTCAGAGACTGCCAAGAGTTATTTCTGTAGGTGGGATTGTGGGGAAGAAGGCTGGTGAGGCTGCAGCTACTTTGGAGCTGAGAAGCGCTCTCCCCTGCTCTCCCTGGCCTAAACACTGAGTGTCTTCCATGGTTTCTTTCTTATCCTCTGCCTCACCTGATGTGTCGGGGTGGGTGGCCTCACAGCCCTGCCCTGCACAGGTCTCATCACCTTGCAGCTGGACCATGGCTTTGTTCTCATGACTGCCTGCCCTGGCTCTGCCCTCTGGTCCATCCCTCTGGCCAAATCAGGCTTTCCGCAGAGCTGCTATCACCCCATATCCGTCCAGCTTGACCCTCTGTGCACTCCTCATTGCCTCAGGGCCCTGGAGATCGGCCCCAGTGCTCTCCTGCTTCATCTGGAAACATTTGTCTCTGCCTCCCTTGACCTGGGTCTTCTGACTCTTGCTGTTCCTGGGCCCGACCCTGCAGGTCTAGGTCCATGCACCTGCCCTGCAGGCCTTGAGCCACTCTCCTAGGACTGCCAGTTCTGCACTGGTCCCTCAGGCACCCTCTTGTACTCGGTTGATGGATGGGTGGACAGGTGCTCCTTTTTGGCTCCTCTTGGCCTGCTGGGCCTCAGCTGCCAGCATGCACATTGGTTGGGTTGTCAGACTCCCCAGGCCCCTGCCCCATGCCCTGGCTCTGTTGCTCTGGGCACACGATGCAGCCCTTGAAACATCAGGATTTTGATCCATAAACATGGAGACCACCTATTACCCACCTCCAAGGACCACTCTGAGTCTCCCCCGGTAGATGGCACTCACAGACCGCGTGGCATGCTGGGAGTGCTCAGCAGCTGCCAGTGTTAGTAGACGTAGATGCTGCCTCTTGAGGTTGGCACACAGTGGGTGCTCGAGAAATGCTCTCTGCTATGACCTAGGCAGACAAAGAGGGTCTGCCTCTGCCCCCAAGGGGTCCCACCCCCGCCCCAGATGGTATCAGAACAGATTCCCCATTCCATGCTGAGGCAAGTGACTTTTCTTTACCCTAAGTCAGAACTTGGCATGCTATTAGCATTAAGTTTCCCCTTATTTCATCTTTGCACGTCACTCCCGCCTTCTGCATCCTCAAGGTGCGCTCATTCTGCGTCGCTCCATCTAACACATAGGCTGTGGGTGTTCACTGCGTGTTCATACACAGTGCAGGGAATGCAGCAGGAGACCCAGGACGAACTGGGCACAATTTCTCTGTCCAGCGGTTGGGGATGGGGGGAAGGCAGACCTAAAAATCACGATGATGATGACCTCGGCCCCCTTCCCCCATTCCCAGGATACTGCTGCAGTTCAGCCCTGCACTGTAAAGGTGAAATCGCCCCACAATAGTTGCAGGCTGTCCTCTTGACATGAGGAAACTGAAGTTCCTAGAGGCTTCTGAAGTTCCTGGCAGATCTAAAATTCAAGCCTAGGTCTGTACACAAAAGCCCACCCTTGGTACCTTGGCTACAAAGAGATATTATGCCCAGCAAGAAGCAGTGTAGTACTGGAGGCCTCATTAGCACTGCGGTGGCTGGAGGAGGATGCGATCAGGAACAGGCAGTCTGTATTTTAGCGAGTTCATAAAAATGTTGACCAATCTCAGAGTGAGGCTGGGAACAGGAGCACCACGAGACCTGGGTGTGTGGGTGTGGGGCCGTCCGCCCCCTGCAGCCTCACTGAACACACCTGCAGCACGTGTGTCCGCATCATGATGTCCACAGGGGTGTTCAGGAGGTTGTGTCAGGTTCTGCTGGACAGCAGGAGCATGAGGGCCCTGAGCACTCCAGCCCCTGCACAGGACCCTAACAATGATGTCTGAGCAAGGCATGCAGAGGGGGGTTACTGAAGCTCAAAGGGGCTCAGGGCCTGGCCTGGGGTCACGCTGCCAGTAGGGGTTAAAATGAAACATGCTGGGTGCTCAGCCTGCAGTTCCATTTTGATTGATCCGTCCGTTCTTCCCTTCACCCACTCACCCATGCGGGTCTCTGGGAGGAGCCTCTCAAGGCTTCCTCCACAGGGCACCTCCTTACCTGGGTGGGCATTAGGTCTTTCTCTGCTGGAGGCCTGGCTCCAGTGGCCACAGCCCTGCTGCCCCTCACCCTGCCAGTGTGTCACTCCTGCTCATTTCCGACTATCTTCCTCTCACCTCTGGTTGCCTCCAGGGCTGGTACTTCTGCGTCGGCCTTGTTGATTCTGGGGTGGGGAGCCCTGTACTGGCCCCTCCAAGCCCCTCAGCAGTTCTGTCCCCATGTCTTGCGGGGCTGTCCCTGCCTTTCTGGGATATCTTCTCAGGGCCTGCTTGATGACCCTGGGTTTGGGCAGGTCTTGGCCCCAACCCAGGCCGTCAGAGTTTGTGTCCTTTCTCAGGGGTCCCCGGTGGGGCCCTCCTCCATCCTGTAACTGAACGCACACCTCTCTCCTGTCCTCTTCACAAGAGCCCTCCCCGTGCAGCCCTGGGCCTGGGGCACAGAGCTTGGGCATCCAGGGACCAGCCCAGACCAGGGTCTTGCTCGGAGCCCGGGCTCTGGGCTCCCTGTTTCTCCCCTGCCCTCCATTCCCCGCCCACCACGGGTCCCAACCCCATCTTCCCGAGCATTCTAGCTCCTCGCGCCGGGTTCTGCCGCGGGCGTCCATTGTGTCCGGACGGTGGCTTCCCCGGGGTGGAGTCGGGTCAAGGCTGGCCTCTGTGGGAGGGGGTTGCCGGGGTCCCCAGGAACCTCTCCGAAGGCAGCACCACCCCCCGCCCAGCGCCCTGGCTGGTCTCACCGGCCCTTCCGTCCGCAGGGGAGGACGAGAAGCTGGCGTCCCTGCTGGAAGGGCGCTTCCCGCGGAGCACCTCGATGCAAGACCCGGTGCGCGAGGGTCGCGGCATCCCGCCCCCGCCGCAGACCGCGCCGCCTCCCCCGCCCGCGCCCTACTACTTCGACTCGGGGCCGCCCCCGGCCTTCTCGCCGCCGCCCCCGCCGGGCCGCGCCTACGACACGGTGCGCTCCAGCTTCAAGCCCGGCCTGGAGGCGCGCCTGGGCGCGGGCGCTGCCGGCCTGTACGAGCCGGGCGCGGCCCTCGGCCCGCTGCCGTATCCCGAGCGGCAGAAGCGCGCGCGCTCCATGATCATCCTGCAGGACTCGGCGCCCGAGTCGGGCGACGCCCCTCGACCCCCGCCCGCGGCCACCCCGCCCGAGCGACCCAAGCGCCGGCCGCGGCCGCCCGGCCCCGACAGCCCCTACGCCAACCTGGGCGCCTTCAGCGCCAGCCTCTTCGCTCCGTCCAAGCCGCAGCGCCGCAAGAGCCCCCTGGTGAAGCAGCTGCAGGTGGAGGACGCGCAGGAGCGCGCGGCCCTGGCCGTGGGCAGCCCCGGTCCCGGCGGCGGCAGCTTCGCCCGCGAGCCCTCCCCGACCCACCGCGGTCCGCGCCCGGGTGGCCTCGACTACGGCGCGGGCGATGGCCCGGGGCTCGCGTTCGGCGGCCCGGGCCCGGCCAAGGACCGGCGGCTGGAGGAGCGGCGCCGCTCCACTGTGTTCCTGTCCGTGGGGGCCATCGAGGGCAGCGCCCCCGGCGCGGATCTGCCATCCCTACAGCCCTCCCGCTCCATCGACGAGCGCCTCCTGGGGACCGGCCCCACCGCCGGCCGCGACCTGCTGCTGCCCTCCCCGGTGTCTGCCCTGAAGCCGTTGGTCAGCGGCCCGAGCCTGGGGCCCTCGGGTTCCACCTTCATCCACCCACTCACCGGCAAACCCCTGGACCCCAGCTCACCCCTGGCCCTTGCCCTGGCTGCCCGAGAGCGAGCTCTGGCCTCCCAGGCGCCCTCCCGGTCCCCCACACCCGTGCACAGTCCCGACGCCGACCGCCCCGGACCCCTGTTTGTGGATGTACAGGCCCGGGACCCAGAGCGAGGGTCCCTGGCTTCCCCGGCTTTCTCCCCACGGAGCCCAGCCTGGATTCCTGTGCCTGCTCGCAGGGAGGCAGAGAAGGTCCCCCGGGAGGAGCGGAAGTCACCCGAGGACAAGAAGTCCATGATCCTCAGCGTCCTGGACACATCCCTGCAGCGGCCAGCTGGCCTCATCGTTGTGCACGCCACCAGCAACGGGCAGGAGCCCAGCAGGCTGGGGGGGGCCGAAGAGGAGCGCCCGGGCACCCCGGAGTTGGCCCCGGCCCCCATGCAGTCAGCGGCTGTGGCAGAGCCCCTGCCCAGCCCCCGGGCCCAGCCCCCTGGTGGCACCCCGGCAGACGCCGGGCCAGGCCAGGGCAGCTCAGAGGAAGAGCCAGAGCTGGTGTTTGCTGTGAACCTGCCACCTGCCCAGCTGTCGTCCAGCGATGAGGAGACCAGGGAGGAGCTGGCCCGAATTGGGTTGGTGCCACCCCCTGAAGAGTTTGCCAACGGGGTCCTGCTGGCCACCCCACTCGCTGGCCCGGGCCCCTCGCCCACCACGGTGCCCAGCCCGGCCTCAGGGAAGCCCAGCAGTGAGCCACCCCCTGCCCCTGAGTCTGCAGCCGACTCTGGGGTGGAGGAGGCTGACACACGCAGCTCCAGCGACCCCCACCTGGAGACCACAAGCACCATCTCCACGGTGTCCAGCATGTCCACCTTGAGCTCGGAGAGCGGGGAACTCACTGACACCCACA
This sequence comes from Homo sapiens, assembly GCF_000001405.40. Taxonomy (NCBI): domain Eukaryota; kingdom Metazoa; phylum Chordata; class Mammalia; order Primates; family Hominidae; genus Homo; species Homo sapiens. The sequence continues at coordinate 50,722,023 of NC_000022.11, forward strand.
CCTCCTTCGCTGACGGACACACTTTTCTACTCGAGAAGCCACCAGTGCCTCCCAAGCCCAAGCTCAAGTCCCCGCTGGGGAAGGGGCCGGTGACCTTCAGGGACCCGCTGCTGAAGCAGTCCTCGGACAGCGAGCTCATGGCCCAGCAGCACCACGCCGCCTCTGCCGGGCTGGCCTCTGCCGCCGGGCCTGCCCGCCCTCGCTACCTCTTCCAGAGAAGGTCCAAGCTATGGGGGGACCCCGTGGAGAGCCGGGGGCTCCCTGGGCCTGAAGACGACAAACCAACTGTGATCAGTGAGCTCAGCTCCCGCCTGCAGCAGCTGAACAAGGACACGCGTTCCCTGGGGGAGGAACCAGTTGGTGGCCTGGGCAGCCTGCTGGACCCTGCCAAGAAGTCGCCCATCGCAGCAGCTCGGTGAGCAGGGCGGTGCGGGGAGGGATCCGTGCCTTGTCCGTGGCCCCGTCTGTCATTCCTCTTGTCTGTTCTCTGGCTCTCCTGTTCCTCCTTGTTCTGTTCCATTCCTTCTGTGGCAACCCCCAACCCGCCCCCGCCATCCACCTCTGAATCCGGTCTTGCTTGGCCTGCCCGAGAGAGGAGGTTCTTCTGGGCGTCTGACACGTCAGGGTTGCTGCTCACTGTGTCCCTGTTGGTGCCAGAAGTGGGAGCTGGGCTCCCCTCAGAGACTCAGGTTGGGCATGAGGCGCCTCCATGGCCCTCCTGGAGGCTCTTGGCCCCAGGGATTCCTGTGAGTTCTCTCTCTCCCTCCCGACACAGGCTGTCTTTACCATTAAGGGTTGTTTTGTGTTTTACTTTGGAGGTACGCCTCCCTCCTCCCATCCTCTCTGTGGCCATGTGGCTGCCCAGTGTGGCTGATACCCTCTGCCTTACAGCTGCCTCCTGCCTTGCTTCCTCTGGCGGCTTGGAGCACACTGACTCCTTTTCTTTTGGGGGATCTGCCACTAACTCCCTATTTCCCATCCCAGAAACATTTGTCTCTTGGCACCACCTTAGAATCCCTTAAACATGGATTCCCGTGTGTCATTTCTAAAGTGCAGTAAGAAGATAGATGGAAGTCACGCCATCTCCCTGCACTCCATCTGCCCTCTTGCCTTCTCCCCACCACTTCCCCGTCTGTCCTGCCCCTGCCCAGAAGGATCTGAGCAGGGGCCTGGCTTGCTGCTGAGGCTGTCACAGCTGCCAGAGCCCTGGGCTGATCCCATAGGTCTTTCCTTGAGGACCCGACTCCCAAGGCTCCTTCCAAAGAGGAGCCCTTCGGGCCCGTGGGCTGCATGGATGCTGGCGGCAGAGCTGGTCATCCCCCACCCGCCCCCTTGTCTGCCTTTTTAAAGCTGCTTTTGCCTTCTGTGCCCCTAGGTCTCCCCTCTCCTCTTTGGGTCTGGGGGGGTGGTATGTGGATGCCACCTCTTGACTCCTGCTTCTTGCTGCCTGGAAGACCAACCTAGTGGGCCCCGTACTGTCAGCCTTGGAGGACAGAGTTCACAGCGTAGCAACGTGTTCAGAACTTAAGGACTTTGCAGGTCTTACAAAGGCCTGGCCATTCTACCTTCTTTAGTTCAGGATTCAAAAGACAGGTAGGAGCTTGGGAAGCTCATGAGGCCTCTCCTAAGGTCCCGGGATGCTGCCTCCAGCTCCTGTCATCCTGGGGAATTGCTCTGGGGTCCTCTCCCCTTTTAGCCTTTTCCAACTCTCAGCCAAACTGGAAAGCCCTCTTCCCAGCAGTGCAGTGTTGAAGGTGCCCGTAGAATGGGTGTTATAATCAGAGTGAGCAGCCTGGTCCTAGGCCTCTGTACAGGACCAGACCCCTGAGGCTGGGGTCTCCTGACCCACACCTGACCAGCCCCCATCTTCCCTCTCTGCTTCTCCCTCCGCTCTTCTCTGCCTCTTGGTCTTGATGAAAATCAAAGCCATTTTAAAAAGTGCATAGCACAGTGCCTGGCCTGGTTCGGGCCCTCAATAAACATTTCTTAAATGGATGAAAGAACAAAGCAAAATGCAAATGCTGTGTTTTGTGATTTGAGATCTAGGGAGGTGGCTTAGGACAAAAACCCACAGAAGGACTTACTCAGCGTTCAGACTCATCAGGTGTCGATCCCCCATGGTCGGGCTCAGGTGGGCCCAGGTCTCGTCATTGGCTCTGTCCTCTCCTGTGAGGCAGCTGCAGCAGTTGCAGGGCAGGGTCAGGGGATTCCTCAGCCGGAACCTCTGGCACTTCCCCTTCTCTGAGTTCATCCTCCCACGGTGCTCTTTAGCATTCTGTCTTGATCAGGGTACGGTTCTCTTAGCCCTTGGCTCTGGCTTTCACCAGGACCCTGTTTGTTTTTCTTTCTCAGATGTGGGATGGGGAAGGACAAGACCAGCAGCCCTGACCCTTACGTGACGTCTGTTCTTTTACTCAGTAGTTCCTGCAAAATTCTGATCTCTGATTGGGTTCATGTGGGTCCTCTGCTTTTCCCTGACTGATCACTGGGGTCTGGGGACATAGGGCTGTCATCGGCCAAGCTTGAGTCCTCTGTTCTCCCAGGAGCCAGGGGGATGGGTCCGCCCACCTAGCAAGCAGGTGCTGAGAGTGAGGGGAGGGGGCTCTCCAGATGGAAGTCCAGTGCTGTCCCTTGAGTAAGTAGATGCTGGACAGCCTGTAGCAACCAATGTTCTGTGACACGGCCCCCACTGGCATCAGCAACTCACTTCCTTGCCGGTCATTGGCTTGGAGCCATCAGAGGGCCCTGATGTCGGTGCTCAGGAGGTCACAGCTTAGTGCTGTATCCCTCCCCTGTGAAGTGTATTTACAGCGAGCCAACTGCACAGGCTATCGCGAGGCTGCACACGGCATCACCTGTGAAGCACCTGGTAGGCCCAGGGCTGGGGCCTGTGGACCCCTCACTGGTGTGAGCTGCCATTGTCTTTGCTGTCACTGACGACACCTAGGTGAGGTCTTAGAGTCCTTTGTGGGAAAACAAGCCTGTTGGATGCAGCACTGGAGACGGTCCTGCCGTATCAGTTTGTCTTCACACCGTTCTGTTAGACGGACACTAACAGAATCCTCATGTTCCAGACAATGAAACTGAGGTACCAGAGAGCTTCCTTGCAGACAGAAAACGGTGGTCTGCCTGACCATGAGCCCTGCTCTCTGGCTGCCGTAACCAGGGCCGCTGTTGTTAAGCCCCTTCTGATGACACACAATGGGCTTTTGCCCAGTAACGCCCCTCCACAGAAGTGGCAGGTGTGTGCATGGCACAGACTCACCCCCGCTGTTTACTGGTCATGTTTGTCATAAGTAGCACCTGGTGCCACCTGAGTGGCCTACCCGGGCCTGCTTTTCCTTCTCAGTTTGCCTCTGTGTTACCTTCTGTTCCAGCTCACTCTTCCTTTCACCCTCTTGCGCTCCTTCTCGCCCTCAGACCTGGGCTGAACTACAGCCATCTGGAGGGGCCCCTGCCCACCCTGGGCCCTTAACTTCCGGTGCTTCTGGCTGCAGGCAGCGGAGCGGAGCACAGGACACTTGGTGATGTCTGAGTCCAGTCCTGTTTCAGATCTGGTCCTTGTGTGCCCACCGTGGCTGTTGTCAGCTCTTGTCCTGCGGCCCCTAATGGCTGGAGTCCGGTACTCACTGCTCACTTAGGGATAAAACTGCTGGTGGAACTGCCTAAAGTGTGGGAGGTTCTGACATCCAGGTATGGCTGCTTCCTTCCCAGGGCCAGTCGTGGCAGAGGCGCTAGGTCACCCTCAGGGCCATACCCTGAGCTGTGTCTCCAGCCCCTTGTGTTCCACAGTGTTTGTCTCCCAGGCCCATCCTTCTCCTCCCTGACCGACACCATGAGGAAGGGAATGCCCACCCACCTTTTCCAGAGATGGCTCATTCCTGATGTGCTTTAGCCACAAGGTGTTCTGTGGCCTGAGAGCTTTCTGGACAAGTTAAGCTGTCCTGTATGTCGTGGAACCAAAGCTCGGTAACCTGTGGAAAAATGATGAGCTCTGGGGCCACCTTTGATTTTCAGGGGAACCTGGAGGATGTGGCACTCTCATGCTGCCTCTGGAAGGTCCAGGACCTTCGGCCTTTTGAATCCTCGATCCCAGATTGTCCACCTGCTCTGTGCTCCCAGCTCCAAGTCTAGCTCTGCTGGACAGACCATTCATCTGCCCAGAGCCCCTCCTCGGTCTCTGGGCCCCACACCTGACTCTGAGGCTACATTTGGGCATGATTCAGACCTGACTCCGAGCCCCACAACTGGCCACAGGCACCCCATCTGTCTGAGGCTCTCACTTGTCTCTGAGACCCTGGCTTCACACCTGGCTCTAAACTCCATTTGTCTTCCAGGCCCCGTGCTCGGATCTGAATCCCATGTGGGGTCTGAGGTCCATAGTAAGGCTCACGTCTGCCTTGGCACTTAGCTTTACATGGGACTCTCACATCTGGTTTTGTAGGTAAAGTTCATGGCAAAGTAGCTTTGGAAACACAAAAAGAGGTTCTTTGCTGCAGTACTTCTGGTGCCTTTGACAAGCTTGTGTGGAGGAGGGCACTGTGTGCCGTGGTCTCCAGACCTGCTAGAGTCAGTTCCTAGGTCTCCCAGAAGACCCATGTTCCTCAAAATGGTCAAGAAGCCCTGCCCTGGTGGCCTGCTGCAGACCCTGCCTGCTAATATATTTGTCAGGGCTCTGGACAAAGCACTGTGTGCTTGGTGGATCACACTGGTAAGCAGGGCCAAGGCCAGCAGGGCCTGCTCTTTTGAAACCCAGACTGAATGTGTCACATACCTGCCAGTGGGGGCCCCTGCAGGCCACATGCAGCTGGGGCAGGTGTGTTCCCAGGATCCCTGAACCCTGTTCGGGGAGTAGGAAGGAGGTACAGAGGAGGGGTCATAGGACACTGGGGCCCATCAGAGCTGGAGCTGGGAACAGGCGGGGTGCCGAGGAGCAAGACGTGTTACCGCAGAGGATGCACTGGAAGCTTCCGAGCCCATGTCTGGTTTTGTGCTCCTCTGAGAATTAGTTCCCTTAATGAGGCCCCTAGTTTGCAAAAGGCCACAGGCCTAGACCGGCCCCACGTGAGTGCAGTGGCAGAAGGCCCGAGGCAGTATCCCGGGCCCGAGTGTGGACATTTTCCTGCCTGTTGGCCCTAGTGGGCTGACTGAGTTGGGCACGCCTGGCAGGGACATGTCATACATACTATTTTTGCATTTTGTTAGTGCATCTCGTATTCCTGGCTTTGTGCTAGGTACCAGGAGGCAAGGAGAACTGGTAAGAAGTGGGGTGAAGGGCCTGAGACCATGAACGGTCTGGATCCAGAAATGGCAAGGGGTAAAGAGAAGGTCTGGGTTGATATTAGGAGTTAGCCATTGGCTGTAGGGTAAAAAGAGGAGCTGATGGTGGCTCCCAGGCTCTGTGTGTGGCAATGACAGGGTGCCGTTCACTGAGTTGGGGATGGAGGGACATGTGTGGATACCCCAGTAGAGGTGTTGGACTCATCAGAGGCTGTCTGGGTCTCACATGTAGCATTCCTGGGCACACTGGCCATAGCAAAGGGTGTGAGTGGATAATGTTGCCCAGGAGAAACTGCAAACTAAGAGGGGAGCTCTCCGAAAATCCATCTAGGAAGGAAGAGGCCTGGGAAAGAATGTCTCGAAGGGAAACATGAACAGGTCAGCAGCGGGGTCTTGCTGACCGCCTGGCCAACTGTGGGGCAGAGGGCGGAGTGGGGAGGGTGTGGCAAGGCCAGACCTCTCTCACTGGCTGAGAGTCACTGGGAAACAGTGAGACGGTGCAGGATTCAAATGTAGGTGGAAAGACGTGGGGCCGTGGGGGCCTCAGTGTGATCTGGACTCAGCCTCTTCAGCGTGGCTGCTGGAGGTGTTCGTGGGTGACGGTGCCTGGTGAAGTATCATGTGTTAGAGGGTGGGTGGCCCAGAAGCTCTCTGGGAGGCTGGCAGGTGCTGTGATGTGGCTGTTTGGCGGCCGGAGCCTGGCCAGGGAGGTGGCCAGACGGCTGAGAGTGACAGTGGGTGTGCAGAGAGGCCATGGAAACATGGAAGTCAGACATGGACACTGCTCGGGTTTGTGCCCTGGGGATGGTGTGGGCAGTACCCTCTTCCCCAAGAGAAAGAGGAGAAGCAGACACCTGGGCCATGGGTGACCCCAGGCCCCTCCCTCCTGTGCCCTGGGGCCTTTGGCAGGCACAGCCTTCCTTGGGCGTTTTCTCTTGGCCTCCTGACATCTCCAGCATGCTCTGGGAGGCGGGAGCAATGTGAATGGCTCTCCTCACATCTCTTGCCCTCGGGCCCCTGGCTCCGTGGGTGCCTCTGGAGCCAGCCTGCCCTCTGCCCAGGTCTCCAGCTCAGCCCCTGCCAGTACTACCCAGACAGGCACAACTCTGCTCTGCCCAGCTCGGACCTCCTGGAGCCCAGACCCTGCTCTGGGCTCCGGCCGAGCCTCCTGGCTGCGCTGCCCGCGCCTGCCCTGTGCCTCTGCCTTCACTGCTGTGGTCCTGCAACTCATCAGTGTGCTTCAGTCACACCTGAGACTCCAGGTACACCTGCCATCACAACTCCACTGAAAGCTAAGCCTTGGGGCAGGGGCAGGGCCAGGGTAGGTGTCCATCCTGTGATACAGGTCCCCAGGCCAGGGCCACTTTGTTGGGGCTGGTGGGTGGAGGCCAGGTGCATATTCCTGGTCCTGCCCCTCTCTGGGTGTCCACAGTCAGGTCCCTCTGAGTGATTCTCTCGGAGTCTCCTCTGGCAAGCCCCTCCAGCAGTCACCACCACCTGGGCACCCACCCCCAGGGGACCCCCCGACCCAACACCACCTGGCACCTCCCCTTGGGAATCCCCCCAACCTTGGCTGCCTCCCCACTTTGGCCCACTGTGCAGGTGGATCCATGGAGGCCAGGTCCAATGGGAGCAAAGACAGCTTATTCTGGTGGTTGGTGCCTGTGCTGAGGCCCACCTCAGGTGTTCTTGAAGCCCCTTTCTGTTTGGGGGCACAGTGTGGCCTCTTCAGGAAGTTCTGCTCTGGATCTGAGCAGCTGGGAGGAGGCAGTAGGGACAGAGGCTGAGGAGAGGACAGAAATGAGGTCCCATGGGAGAGACAGAGCTCAGATCTCCACAGAGGGCTGACCTCTCACAGGTGGGAGACAAAAGACGAAACCTGCTTTAAGGGGAGCCCCATGCGTGTGTGGGGCAGGCACTGGTGATGCTGTGTGGTGAGGACAGCCTTTAAGGGGAGCCCCATGCCTGTATGGGGCAGGGACTGGTGATGCTGTGTGGTGAGGACAGCACAGAGGTTGGGGTGGGGGGACTCAGCCTGGGCAGGGGCAGGGAGAGGGGGTGGGAGGGCCACTGGAGAGGGGCCCGGCCAAAGAGGATGTCAGGGGCTCAGCACCCCCAGGCGGCCAGGCACCTGCCGAGCACTGCAGCCACGCTTGTGGTTCACCTGCACTTGGAGACTCTCGCACAGGCGCCTCTCCTCCACCAGCAGCTCCAGCTTTGTCCCTCCCACAGCAGCTGGGCCCTCTGCACCTGAGTTCCTCCCTCCACACCTGGCTGCCCATTGTGTGGTTGCAGCTGTGGGTCGCGTGGGCCTGGCCGGCTAACTCTCTCTCTCATTGCTCTCTCCTGCCCATCTGCATGTGGCTGCTCTGTCGAGCTGCGCCGTGGTCCCGAGCGCCGGCTGTGTAAGTGAGCATGCCCATCCCATGCCTCTTGCCGTCCACACGCTGTGCCTGTCTGCCTGGGTCTCTGCTCTGCGTGGCTGTGAGAGGCTCTGGTGCCACTGACAGCCCCTTGAGGCTTCCCCTGACACAGTGGGGATAGGGATGGGAATGGGAGGACATGGGAGTGGGTTTTCTCTGGAGCTATCACCCCAGGTAGGCCTCCCACCACGGCAGAGCCAAGGAGGGGCTAGAGCTCTAGGGTCCTGTCAGGTGAGGCTGGGAAGTGAGCTGCCATCGGTTCTTGTGTGTGTGCGTGCGTGCATGTGTGCGTGTTGCGTGTCTGCGTGTGTGTGCTGCTGCCACCGCAGCATGTCTGTAACGCGTGTGGGCACCGTTGCTGCTGTTGTGTGCCGTCTGTGCAGGAGGCTGCCTTTGTGTTGAGGGTGTGCACGGCCTCACACCTGCCCTGCATGTGCTGCTGCTCCATACGGGTACGAGCCCTGCCTAGTGTCTGTCTCCTGTGTCACGGACCTGTTCAACCTCGTGCTGCTGCCAGCCTTTATCGCGACTCAGCTGTCCCTGGAACCTGCCCAGGATCCCCTGGGTCTTCTCATGAGAGCAGAGCTGTGTGGGGGGTGGGCGGTGAAGGGTACTGCCCAAGTCTCAGCGTCCCGGGTATCTGTGGATCCCGCCATGCCCAGAGCCGGTGTCGGAGGCTGGCAGGAGGGAGAAGCCCGCCCTTTGCCATGAGAGGCTGTCTTTTCTTTGGTTGGGCTGCACTTGGAGCCTGGATGGAGTGGAGGGGGCCACCAGTCATTCCTCATATTCCAGCCAGTCGCTGGCTCTGGTCCCAGGGGCCAAAGAAAAGGGCCAGGGTAACCGTAGGATCCCACCCTTTATTTCTTCCTCTGGCCGGGCTACTCCCGCCAGCCGCAGCCCCAGCCCGTTTCCTCCTGGACCCTGCCCGCTCCCCTCCGCCCGTCCCCCCTTGGCTGTGCGCCCCTCACCTGGCGCTGACCCCTCTCCCTCCGCAGGCTCTTCAGCAGCCTCGGTGAGCTGAGCTCCATTTCAGCGCAGCGCAGCCCCGGGGGCCCGGGCGGCGGGGCCTCGTACTCGGTGAGGCCCAGTGGCCGCTACCCCGTGGCGAGACGCGCCCCGAGCCCGGTGAAGCCCGCGTCGCTGGAGCGGGTGGAGGGGCTGGGGGCGGGCGCGGGGGGCGCAGGGCGGCCCTTCGGCCTCACGCCCCCCACCATCCTCAAGTCGTCCAGCCTCTCCATCCCGCACGAGCCCAAGGAGGTGCGCTTCGTGGTGCGCAGCGTGAGCGCGCGCAGTCGCTCCCCCTCGCCGTCGCCGCTGCCCTCGCCCGCGTCCGGCCCCGGCCCCGGCGCCCCCGGCCCACGCCGACCCTTCCAGCAGAAGCCGCTGCAGCTCTGGAGCAAGTTCGACGTGGGCGACTGGCTGGAGAGCATCCACCTAGGCGAGCACCGCGACCGCTTCGAGGACCATGAGATAGAAGGCGCGCACCTACCCGCGCTTACCAAGGACGACTTCGTGGAGCTGGGCGTCACGCGCGTGGGCCACCGCATGAACATCGAGCGCGCGCTCAGGCAGCTGGACGGCAGCTGACGCCCCACCCCCACTCCCGCCCCGGCCGTGCCCTGCCGGCAGGGCCCCCCACCCCCACCCCGGGCCGCGGGCTCGGCCTGCCCCTTACGACGGCGCCCGGGCCAGGAATGTTGCATGAATCGTCCTGTTTGCTGTTGCTCGGAGACTCGCCCTGTACATTGCTTAGTGCCCTCACCGGCCGCCCAGCCCACCCAGCGCACAGTCAGGAAGGGCGTGGACCAGGGAGGCTGGGGCGGGAGGTGCCGGGGGTGGGGTGCCCTAGCGTGACCACCTCCTTCGCAGCTCCTGGTGGCCATTCTCCCAGAGGGGGAACCTAGTCCAGCATGCGAGGTCAGGACCCGCCTTGGTGACTCGGGGGGAGGGGGGAGACATTGGGATTCTCGATGGGGGCCAAGGAGCCCCCCTGTTTTGCATATTTTAATCCACTCTATATTTGGAACGAGAAAAGGAACAAATATCTCTGTCCGTAATAGTTTCCTCTCCCCTCCCTTCTACTTCCACTGGTCCCACTGCAGCTGCCCAGTCTTCCATCTCCGGCCCCTCACTGCCACTGCCACCCCACAACGGGGCAGGGGACGCTCCAGCTGGTCTGGGGTTGGCCAGGGCCCTAGTGGCCCGCCCTGGGGCCCCAGCTCGGCCCCTCGCCTCGCTGAGCTCTAGTGTGCCCCACCGACCCTTCAGGTGCTGCTCGTGGTGGGAGGGGCGGCAGGCCGCGGGTCCTGCTGTGCACCCGCGGGACCAGCCGGCCTGGGAGACCATCGGCCGGGGGGGATGAGGGCAGGGCCCTGCCGCTCCACCGCAGCCATCTTCCTCACAGGGTCTCTCCCCAAGGAGGGGGCTAGCTTGGTCCCCATGCTCTTGGGCAACTACAGCAGAGAAGCCTCCCTGCCTTGGACCCCAAAGTCTCCTGTCCTGCCCTTTATGTGTGTGGGTGAAACTGGGTGCGTCTGAGCACGTGGGAGCCGTGTGTGTGCCTGATTACTGAGTGGCCACCAGGGGCCGCTCTGGACTAGCGCGGGGCCGTGGAGGCGTGCACCGTGTGCATGCGTGGGGTGTACCTGTGAGAGCACCCTGTCTCCTCTTCCAAAGAAAGTCAGAGGCCATCCTGCACCCTGGGTCCAGCTGTTTGCCCAGCCTGTCCTTCCAGAGCCTCACCCAGCCTGAGCGGGGTTCCCTGGTGAATCCCTGCTGCTTGGGGAGGCCCCAAGGGCCCCTTGGAGGCAGCGCCCCCACCTTGGGCTTCTGAGGGCATCATAGGGGGACCCCTAGAGTCAGTTCACCACAGGCCCTGGGGAGAGTCAAAGACCCCCGAGGGTGCCCAGCCCCCCACACTGTGACTCCTCACACTCAGCGATGACCTGTGGGGTGGGGGGCCCTGGGACGTTTTTAAACCTAGGGTTTGGAGTCTGGACTAAGCTCCATCCACGTCACTCACAAGTTTCTGTTTATATTTCTAGCTTTTTTTAATAAAATAAAAAAAAAAAGAAAACAGAAGTTTTCACAACCCAGGGGCCTGGCACGCCGGTCTGTGCCTGCCCGCCCCGCCCTGGCCCACCGGCCCCACTCCCTGGGCACAGAGTCACACCCACTCATCCTTCCGCCAACAGTCCAGGTCACACAGCAGCAGTCACTGTAACAGACTGCCACATACACACTCGGTCTCACACTCACCTGTGGGTTTTGGTTCCGTTCAATTTGGGTTTTTAACTTTACAGGGTCAGTTCCGCTTCACCTCCTTTTGTATGGAGTTCCATCCGGGGGGTTTCACCCCCTGCTCCAGTCCTGAGGCCTCCTGACCCTGACGTTGTGATACGCCCCACAGAGATCTATGTTTCTTATATTATTATTATTGATAATAATTATTATAATATTATTATGTAATAAATTTATAAGAAATGAAGCCATGGCTCAGTTGCCTGCTTGAGGGGATATTTGTGTCTGTCCCTCATACCGGCCACACAAACCTCCTCAGCCTGGACCACATGCACGGGTGACTCCTAGATCCCTATCTTTGACCTCCATGCCTAGGCACCTGGCATCTTCCAGCATCTTCTCCGAGTCTGCTGGAACTCAGCCCATGCCTTCTGCACCGAAAGCTTTTCTCTGTTCACCAACCCACTGAGTAGCACCTCCTAAGCTGGAGGCCACTTGTCCTCCATGACCCCTGCCAGGTTTTAAGCCTAGGGTTTAAGACTTGCTCCCGCCAGCGTCCGGTTGCTTTTAAATTCTGCTGCTCCTGTCTTGGAACCCGCTCGCATCTCTCGCAACTGTCCTACCCCACGGCTGCAGACCAGATTTAGCCCTCACTCCTTCCCTGCTGATTCACTGGTTTTCTGTTTCCATTTCTGCCCTCTGCTGACAAACACCAGCCTGTCTGTAAATGCAGCTGATGGATGGACCCCGTGAGCCAGTCCGGCCCAGCCAGTGCTGCCGTGGCCCTGCCAGCATCCCCTGCTCCCTCCCCATGCACACATGCTGCTCGCCAGTCTCCCCCCACCTCCTGCAATCCCTGAGCCGCTATGACGCTTCAGGGCTCTGTCTCACACATGCCCTCTTCCTTCTGCCTGGATCACCCATCGTTTGCCTGCATCAAGCATACATAGCTTGGAGGCTGATCTCCGGATCCTGTCTTCCAGGACGTTTTCTCTGACCCGCCCTCCCTGGAGTCCCAGTTAGATGTTAGGCTCTGCGTCTGCACGGCCCTGGTGCTATCTCAAATTAGAGCAAGTTGGTGCTTCTCACCTTGGGTTGTCTGCCCAGTTGGATGTGAGGTTTCCTTTTTGCTCCCACCCTGAGCACCAGAGACAAGACATTGTCCTTCAGGAGCGCACAGGCAGTCATGTGAGCAGCCGATAATGTGGCAAAAAAGACACGTCCTGGGTGGCACCTGGTGGGGGTGGCCAGCCAACAGGAGGGACAGAGACCCCTCGCTGAGTGGAAGGAGGTGGTGAGCTATGTCTTGAAGGGCAAACAGTAAGGCAAGTGGGCAAAGGCAATCAAGAGGGAGCCGTGAGAAAGTAGAGGGCACAGGACCCAGCACTGAGGCCAGGGGCTGCAGAGATGTGACGTCCCCGGTGGGGAGGGTTGCTTACAGGAGGGGCAGTGGTTTCAGAGCCTGGACACACTGGGTTGAGGAGGCGCGTGAATATGACAGAATGACAATCGCATACCTTGGCTCTGTGGTTAACCTTAGCCAGGGGTGGGGCCGGTGGCACCGTGGAGAAGTGCCACTAGCCCCAGACTCTGAGTCCCCATGGAGGCCTAGGGCTCCATGTGCAGCCCAGGGAGACCCACCCTCCCGATTCCACACACTCAGGCCCAGAGCGAGTCAGGGGCCCCCTGCTCCCACACTCAGACCCTTGCAGGGCCCCCCTCCTTGACTTCCCGTGCAGCCCTTTCCTTATGATGGCCTCAGTTTCTAATCTGAAAATAAGATGAGGATTAGGAAATGTTGAAAATTTGAAATTGTGTGGCCTCTGCTCTTCCTGTGGGCTGGCACCCCCCAGCCACTCCCAAGACCTGTGGACAACTTTGGGGCAGGGCCAGGACATGGAGGCTGCTTTTGTTTTGTTTTGAGACAAGGTCTCACCCTGTCACCCAGGCTGGAGTGCAGGGGCATGATCGTGGCTCACTGTAGCCTCAACCTCCTGGAATTGAGCGATCCTCCTGCCTCAGCCTCCCAAGTAGCTGGGACTGCAAGCGTGGGCCATCACACCTGACTAATTTTTTTTTTATTTTTTATGAGATGGGGGCCTCATTTTGCTGCCCAGGCTGGTCTAGAACTCCACCCTCCTTAGCCTTTCAAAGTGCTTCGATGACAGGTGTGGGCCACCTTGCCCAGCCTGAGGCTGGTTTTCAAGCTGTCATCAACCATAGCCTCAAAGGGCCTTCGTCCTTCTCCATGGCGCCACCCAGACCCTCACCTGCTTGCTTAAACCACCCCCGAGGCACCTGCTTCCCCTGGGTGAAGACCTGAAACCTACCCCTTTTCGGCCCTCAAGGTTTCACTGCGTCAACCATTCTTACTCCCTCTGGGATCTTCTTGCCTTCCTGGCTGGCTGGACATTGAGGATGGTTGGATAAGGTTTCTGCTCCTCACGGAGGGTGGTGGGGACAGGAATGGAAAAGTAGGGGATTGGGGGCTGGAAGGGATTGGAGATCAGGGTGAGAAAAACTGGGGTGGGAGTTGGATTGCCCAGGTAAATAAGGCATGGGGACAGAAGTGGGCACGGCTGGCGAAGGCAGCGGGTGGTTGGGGTGAGCAGGAGCAGCGAGAATGGCTGGGATGAGCTGGAGGGGTGCCTGGGGGTCAGGGTGGAAGCAGAGAGCAGGGAGGAGTTTGAGGGGAGATGGGGAGCCCCCATCCTGCCCCCTGTGCTGAGCACTCTGCCTCAGCCTGAGCCATGCCCTCGGATGGGACCCCACCCTCTGGCCCCAGACCTGTCACCCATTTCTCCTTCGCTCTTAGAACAGCATGAAGAAGGTCAGACAAAGTCACTCTGAGTTGAGATGTTTGTTGCTTCCATTAGTTTAATGACAAAATTAAATGGGCCGGGCCAGGTACTTTTCCCGCAACCATCACTATAGCCACGGGCAGGCACGATGACTGGCAGCCCCTTCTAGAATCAGAAGTGGGTAAGCTTTGCGGAGTCAAACTGTAATGGTCTTCTAGAATCCAGACACTGACATTGGGTCTTCAGACTTTTTTATTGATACCTCCTAAATATTTGTAAAGAAATAGGTGCTATCCATTAAAAACACCCGAATAATATTTTCTTTAACAGTCAAAACTTTAATCTTCTTCTTTTTTTTTTTTGAGACAGGGTTTCACTCCCATTGCCCAAGCTTGAGTGCAATGGTGCGATCTCGGCTCACTGCAACTTCTGCCTTCTGGGTTCAAATGATTCTCCTGCCTCAGCTTTCTGAGTAGCTGGGATGCAGGTGCCACTGCACCTGGCTAATTTTTGTATTTTTTGTACAGACGGGGTTTTGCCGTGTTGCCCAGGCTGGTCTGGGGCTCCTGAGCTCAAGTGATCTGCCTGCCTCACCCTCTCAAAGTGCTGGGATTACAGGCATGAGCCTCTGCACTTGGGCCCACTTCTTCAATTCTTCTTGCCATTTCTTGAACCATATTTCCAAAGTCTTTTTCTGGTTATTTATGAGACACAACTTGATGCTCAGTTAAAATAAGTGAGGTCCGCTAACACTCAGTAGTGCAGCTGAAACCTATTCACATTCAAGTCACGAAATAGAACTTGTATGCCCTTCAGCTAGAGGAAGTGGGGCTACCTGACATAAAGGTAGAAAAATCCCCTGACACTCGGAGGAGATAAAGTGTCATGACTTAGATAGGGCATATAGGAGATAGGAGGTTTCATGACTCTCAGGTAAGGGAGATGAGACCTCCAGACAACCAGGAAGAGGTGAGAATACCTCCAGACCTCAGGGGGTTGAGATGAGAACTTTGGACACCCAGAATAGAGGAGATCTCATGATACTCTAGCAGAGGAGATGAAAGCTCCATGCCATTTAGACAGGGATATGAGACTATATTCAAGTAGAGGGTAGGACATGCCCTGGCACCCAGATGGGGGCAATGAGATCTCCCAACACTCTGGTATACCGGTGGAGACTTCAGAACATTCATATAGGTAAAATACAACCTCTTGACATTCAGCTGGAAGATGTAAGACCTCTTGATTTTCAGGTAGAGAAAGTGCGACAGGGTGACACTTGGGTGGTGGAGGTGAGAATTCTTAACCTGTAGGTGGAGGCGATGAGGGCCTCTGGCACTGAAGTGGAAAAACAGAGTTGTTATTTCTTTCAAAGAAGGAGGTGATCACTCCCTGATACTGGGTAAGATATACGAGACCTATTGAACATTCATTTGAGGATGTCATAAGTACGACATTCAGTTAGAGAAAATAGATAAATCAAGATCATCTGATAATCTGAAAACTCAACACTCAGGAATAGGAGATGAGATGTCCTGACACTCAGGTTGGAGGCATGGGACCTTCTGACACCCACTTAGATGATGTGCAACCTATTGACCCTCGGGCTGGTTGAGATCTTACATTCAGGTAGAAGAGGTAAGGCTGCCCTCATGCAGGTAAGAGTGTGACCTCCTGACACTTGCAGGCGATGGGAAATGTTTTAACATTCAGGTGTTTGCAATAAGCATTTGTCACACTCTGGTAGGTGAGATGCTAGTTCCTGATGATCAGATGGGAAAAATGATGCTTCATGATATTCAGGTAGCTGTATGAAAACTCTTGACATTCAAGTATAGGAGAAAACACCTTGCTCCACCTCAGTCACAGAAAGCCGATCTGGAGACATTCAGGATAATAGGAGACCTTGTGATATTCAGCAACGGACAGGAAGGTGGGCTTTGCAGTTGTAAATTAGGAAAATTCAAAATGACTCTTGGAAAAGTGTGTTGATAGCATTCACTTGGAAGAGGAAAAGAAAACTTCCCCAACAACAATTAAGGATCAATTAATCTGCTGACCCTGACTCCTCTGATCCACAAACATGTTGCACCGTCTCATCACTGAAGGGCTGAGCCGCTCCTCAGTCTGTGAGTCTGCAGTGGTCACAGCACGCATGAGAGGCAGACTCTGAACCTGCACAAAGCCAGAGCCTTGGGTGATGTGGGGACCTCGCAAGAGTTACTGGGAATGGAGATCCTGGCCTTGGGACAGAGGGAGTGGGGCTGCACAGGAGTCCCCCATCATCCTGGTGGTGGGGGAGCCTATGCAGGAAGTCAAGAAGTCTCTTCAGCACAAACCAGTTAAGGCGAGGGGCTCTTACCTGGCCTGACTGCTGGGGGTGGGGTGGGGGTCACCCCTGCTGATTGGCCAGGCAGCCACGGAGCTTTGTGAGGTCACTAGGCTTGCAGGCCAGGCAGTGCCAGGAGTATGGTTGAGATGCTACCAACTGCCATTCTGCTGGTCTTGGCAGTGTCCGTGGTTGCTAAAGATAACGCCACGTGTGAGTAAGTGTCGGGGCACCTTGGTGGGGGAAGGATCTTCTGAGGAGCAGGTACCACCCCGACTCCCTCTGTCCAGGGCTAGGGAAAAGGAGGCTGCATCCCTAACCTGGACCCCCCCTGCTCCCAGAATCAGCAGCCTGGAGCCCCCAGACCCTCAGCTTTCGTGGTTTCCTCCAGAGATGGACCCCTCAGCACCTCAGGCTCCTTGTGCCTCTCCCACTCCCCCAGGGACTGACCCCACTGTCTTGAAGACATGAAGTCCTGATTTTGGGAGCCCTTATCCCCCCACAGACAGCTGTCCCAACCCGTGGTTGCCCCCAACAGCCCCAGGATATCATCGCTTCACACCGCTTGCACCCCTACCCCCCAGTAGGCTCTCTCACTCCAAGGTACCCCGAAATACCAACACCTCCCAAGCTATATGTGGCCTCCCACCCGTGACACAGTTCCCAGAGCCTCCACCTCTAGACCTCCACTGCTCTCAGTGTGCCCCCTACACCTGTGGGCCACAGTATCTGCCCCTGGCTGCTATCCCTCCTCCCATCACTGTCAACGACCCCCTTCATCACCTGACTTCCCTGAGTCTCCCACCCAAGATTGGTTATAAGGACCTCAGGCCATTACACCCCTCTGTCCCCAGGCCCCGCATCCCCACCTCTACCCTCCTGTTCTGCCCAGGGACGGGCCATCCCTCAGGGCCCATGCAGCCTGTCCTGGCTTCCTATGGCCTCCTCTTTCTCCATCTGTGACTGCACCCACAAGACCTGAGAAGTCGTGGCCCCAGAACCATTTCCTAGAGCCTGCGGCTTCCTACATAGCGCAGGCTGCCCCTGCTTTCCCAGAACCCGGAAGCTCTTCCCCACTTTTCCCAACCCCATGTCCCTGCCTCCCCTCAGTTGTGGAGTTACAAGGACAGGCTGTGCTCATGCCAGGTTTGAACTGTGCTCTGGTCTCTCCCCAGTGGCCCCTGTGGGTTACGGTTCAGGCAAAACCCACAGGGTGGTGTCCGCATCGTCGGCGGGAAGGCTGCACAGCATGGGGCCTGGCCCTGGATGGTCAGCCTCCAGATCTTCACGTACAACAGCCACAGGTACCACACATGTGGAGGCAGCTTGCTGAATTCACGATGGGTGCTCACTGCTGCTCACTGCTTCGTCGGCAAAAAGTACGTGTAGGGATGCACTGAGGGAGGTCTTCAGAACGGCTCTTCTCAGAGAGGGGCGTTCCCCGGGGATGCTGTGCAGCGTCTCCCTGGGGCTCTGGGCCAAGTGGCTGCAAGACTCCGGGGGCTGGTCCAGACCTTTGCTAGGGGAAGGCCCTGAGGGTCGCTGTCACCAGGCTTTTGTCCAGCCGGTTGTGACCTGGCTTACCTTTGTGCCCACAGTAATGTGCATGACTGGAGACTGGTTTTCGGAGCAAAGGAAATTACATATGGGAACAATAAACCAGTAAAGGCGCCTCTGCAAGAGAGATATGTGGAGAAAATCATCATTCATGAAAAATACAACTCTGCGACAGAGGGAAATGACATTGCCCTCGTGGAGATCACCCCTCCCATTTCGTGTGGGCGCTTCATTGGGCCGGGCTGCCTGCCCCACTTTAAGGCAGGCCTCCCCAGAGGCTCCCAGAGCTGCTGGGTGGCCGGCTGGGGATATATAGAAGAGAAAGGTGAGTATGGGAGCGCCTCCAAGGGGGGACGCTGCTGGCCATTCTCCTGGTGGTCTTTGAGGTGCAGCGGTCACTTGTTGACACCCAGCCAGGCTGCTTTCATCCTCCTCACGGCGCTACACGTAGAGCCATCACTGTGGCCTTCCACAGTCCCCTGTGCCAGGTCACGTGATGGGTGACTCGTCTGGCTGTCTACGGGGGGGCTGACAGCAGGTGCAGGCAGAGCGCAGCGTTGCTTAGAATGGGGTTGAGGCTGTGTCTGTATTTGGCACCTGGGGCCCAAGCTGCTGGATCCTGGAAACAAGCAGCAACCCTGAAACAGCCTTTGGAGAAGAGCTCCAGATAAGGTTATGTGGCCGTATGACAGTGCCTTCCACTCTCTGGGCCTTGGTTTCCTCATCTGTAAATGGAGGGGCTGGATCAGATGGTCTCCAAGCTGACCATTTCCTAACACCTGTGATTCCAGGGCCCAGCCTTCCTGCTTCCAGGCTGTCTTTGTCACCATCAGCAGCCACCTCCGGTGCAGTCATAGCACCAAATCTACCCTCTCCATCTGAGTTACTTGACATTTGCTCTGTAGACTGGGAAGGGGACCGGTGGTTGGTGTGGCTTTCTGTGGGTCATAGGCATCCCTGTATTTCAGGCTTCCTGGAGTGTCCGGCAGGTACCTCTCCATTCAAGACGGGTGTAGCTGTCGCTCTAGAGCTCTGTCCATAACCAAGCTGTCTCTCTCTCCCCTGGCTCCCAGAAGATCTCTTGCCCATCCAACACTACCTGATACACTCGACACCAGATGAGTTCTAGAAGAGTAGGGGGAATTTCTTCCGTACCAGACCAGGCTCACGGAGGGCCCCAGGTGTGACCTAGAACAAATTGTCATTACTGACTCCGTGGTCAGAGACGCCCAGACACCTCTCCCTACATACTTAGGCACACTAGAGATACCATTTATCCCAGAAGCAACAGGTGACCCCATTAAATGGCAGCAGTGAGCAGCAAGGTTTTGCCAGCAGGACAAGACCCAGTAGGACTTGATCTCTGCATGTGACCTATACTTCCAGCTTTCCATAAGTGGTGCATCTCAATCTCTTTTTTTCTTGATAATGGATAATGAGGCTTCTTAATTCAAGGCAATTCAGTCATATGAGTCTAAAACGCAGCCTTTTTTGGGTAACAACAACAAAAAGTCAATAATTTGAGGATTCTTCCTTTAACTCTTATTTCCTTCTCTGAGGGCGTGGTCTAAGTTTCTGACAGGTTTGTCACCTCTCCTGTCCCTCAGGGAAGGGAGTCTCATCCCAGCTGTCCTTGTTCTCACTGGCCTCACTTGACACGTGGCCATCCCCTTCTGGCCTGGAGTGACAGCCTCTATTCCAGCTGCCGATACCCATGGCTCTGCCCTGGCCTCTGTCCAGCCCCCTAGCCTGCCATGCTCTGTCCCCTGTCTGATGATGTCCACAGCTCTTGGGGGTCCCTATGTTCCTGGGAGGCTGATCTTAGGGTCCCCACTGCCAACCGTTGCTGTCCTATTCTATTACTCAGACAGATTGTAGTGTCCTAGCTATATCTTGGATGCCATGCAAAACCTTTTTTGTTCTGGAATTCCCATAAACCTAATAGGATCACTCTGTTTCTGTTTGGGGTTTTTTTGTTTTTCATTTTTGCAAACACATCCTGTACCCATAAGCCCAAGTCTTAAAGAAACCCCCAGGCTCCAACTCCTGTGATCCCTTCAAACCTTCCATGTCTTACCACCTCCTTCAACTCATCTGCTTTGGGGCTGGAAGGGTATTGCTTGGGTATTGCTTCTTTCCCATTGGGTTTTGAGTCCCTGCAGACTTTTAAGCATTTGTTATTTAAAGCCCAGGTGTCGGCTGGGTGCAGTTGCTCATTCCTGTAATTTACCCAGCACTTTGGGAGGCCGAGGCAGGTGGATCACCTGAGGTCAGGAGTTTGAGACCAGCCTGGCCAACATGGTGAAACCCAATCTCTACTAAAAATATAAAACATTAGCAGGGTGTGGTGGTGGATGCCTGTTGTCCCAGCTACTCGGGAGGCTGAGGCAGGAGAATCACTTGAACCCGGGAGGTGAAGGTTGCAGTGAGCCAAGATCACGCCACTGCACTCCAGCCTGGGTAACAAGAGCGAAACTTCATCTCAAAAAAAACCCGCCAAGGTGTTGGGATTTAGAAAACCCTTTTCTGTTTGAGGACACCTGGCTCTTCACAATAAAACCCATGGCTTTCAAGACTATGGGCTCTGCCCTAGACTTAAAAAGTCATCTTGGCCGGGCGCGGTGGCTCACTCCTGTAATCCCAGCACTTTGGGAGGCCAAGGAGGGTGGATCACAAGGTCGTGAGATCGAGACCATCCTGGCTAACACGGTGAAACCTCATTTCTACTAAAAATACAGAAAATTAGCCGGGCATGGTGGCGGGCGCCTGTAGTCCCAGCTACTCGGGAGGCTGAGGCAGGAGAATGGCGTGAACCCAGGAGGCGGAGCTTGCAGTGAGCCGAGATGGCGCCACCGCACTCCAGCCTGGGCGACAGAGCAAGACTCCGTCTCAAAAAAAAAAAAAAAAAAAATCGTCTTAATGGCTAATAAGCCAGGATTGTTGTCATTGTTGTTTCAATGTCACCCCTACCCCAAGGGCAGTGCATGTACAAAACTCTCACTGCTGCTTGGATGGTAAGAAAAGGTGGGGGCTAAGGGGATTAAAAAACGGAAAGCCAGCGAGCACTCGTTCAGCAGCCGCTTACCAGACGCCTGCTGTGTGCCGAGCCCTATGCACGTCACTCGTGTGTCCCCTGTCTCCCGTCCTGGCCTGTGCAGCTATGTTCTGGGTCTGCCCCTACCTCAGTCTGCTCCCATCTGCTCTGCAGGTGACGTCCAGATCCACCCCCAGGGTTGTAGGTGCTGCTGCGGTGGGGGCCAGAGTGGCTGCTGCTGTTGGGGACCCTTCTGTCTGTGGGACCCCTTGAAAAGGAGCAACGCTGGCGCATGCGCCGTAGCATCGGGTCTTTCTAACCCAAAGGTCACGGTAGAGAGTCCAGCGCTTTCTTTCTTTTTTTGTTTGAGACGGAGTCTCGCTCTGTGGCCCGGGCTGGAGTGCAGTGGCGCCATCTCGGCTCACTGCAAGCTCCGCCTCCCGGGTTCACGCCATTCTCCTGCCTCAGCCTCCCGAGTAGCTGGGACTACAGGCGCCCGCCACCATGCCTGGCTAATTTTTTGTATTTTTAGTAGAGACGGGGTTTCACCGTGTTAGCCAGGATGGTCTCGAACTCCTGACCTCGTGATCCGCCCGCCTCGGCCTCCCAAAGTGCTGGGATGACAGGCGTGAGCCACCGCGCCCAGCCAAGTCCAGGGCTTTCAAGGAAGTCCGCATCGGGGTTGTTTCAACCGCCCCTGCCCCTGCCAGGTCTGCCCGTGTGTGGAGGCGCTGCCCCGAGCTTCCCCTGCGGTCTCCTCGGAACAGATATGCAGCATATGGGGAGGGACTTATTGACCCAGCTGCAGCAGATCCCGTCCGCAGCTGAGCCGAGGAGTTCTGAAGAGGGACAAGAAGCAGGGGGAGTGGCTTACAGCCAGACTGTGGGAGTGGACAGTGTGTCTCAGACTGGAGTCTGGAGAGGAGCAGTCCTGAGGCCAGGCTGCAGCCCCACCACCTCTCTACTGTGACCTGGGTGGGCGGTGCTCCAGCCTTCTGATCCAAAATGGGAATAACGGGACCATGTGACTCAGGGAGTGCTTGGTGCACACTAGGTGTTATTGGTAATACTGCAACTAACCTCCATAATCCATCGTTAATACGCACACCCACCCCCCATCCACCTGTCCACGGGCCTCCACCCTTCCTTCCTCTCTTCCTCTCTCCTCTGGCCTTGATTTGGATAACATTTCCCCACCTCCTCCCACCACCTCTAGTCTGCTCTTTCTGGTGTATAAGGAGGGGTCGGGGCATCGACTGGATGGGTCTGAGGTTTAACTGGAGCATCACAGAGGATGGGGTTCGGTGGGGCAAGGAGGCAGGGCTTTTGTCCGTGTCTCCCGTGATCACTGACCACCGAGTGGTCTGACTATAGCCCCCAGGCCATCATCTATACTGATGGAGGCACGTGTGGATCTCATCGACCTGGACTTGTGTAACTCGACCCAGTGGTACAATGGGCGCGTTCAGCCAACCAATGTGTGCGCGGGGTATCCTGTAGGCAAGATCGACACCTGCCAGGTAACCTTCCTTCTGGCTTCTGGGCCCCTGGGTCCCTCCAGGACTCTCCCGGCCCCTGAGAACATCCTCCTTTTGGATCCCCAAGCTCCACTATCTCCACTGCTCTGCCCAGGGCCCTTCTCTAGTGACTGCTTCCCCGGTCCCTTTTCTAGCACCTACTCTCACAGTGGGGATGAGCGGTGACAGCCACCGGCTGCCCCTGCCATGTGCCCCTGTGGACACGTGGGTTTGCTCATCTCACTGCAAGGAAAGCCCTGACAATTCACACCCTCCTCACATCCCAAATGAAGCCCCTGACACCCCCTCAAACTTTACTACAACCACTTGTGTTTACAGCAGCAGGAGACCATGTCACTGTGGAAATTGTCCTCCCAGAGCCTTCCGACCCCTCTGGGCAGGGGAAGAGTGGCTCAGGCAGATAGTGACCTCTGTGTCCTTCTGGACAGGGAGACAGCGGCGGGCCTCTCATGTGCAAAGACAGCAAGGAAAGCGCCTATGTGGTCGTGGGAATCACAAGCTGGGGGGTAGGCTGTGCCCGTGCCAAGCGCCCCGGAATCTACACGGCCACCTGGCCCTATCTGAACTGGATCGCCTCCAAG
The DNA here is from genome assembly GCF_000001405.40 of Homo sapiens. Classification (NCBI taxonomy): domain Eukaryota; kingdom Metazoa; phylum Chordata; class Mammalia; order Primates; family Hominidae; genus Homo; species Homo sapiens. Next base: position 50,744,806 of record NC_000022.11, read on the forward strand.
ATTGGTTCTAACGCTTTGCGTATGATTCAATCGGCCACCCCTCCACCTCCCACCACTCGACCGCCCCCGATTCGACCCCCCTTCTCCCACCCTATCTCTGCTCACCTTCCTTGGTATTTCCAACCGCCCCCTCGACCACTTCCACCCCGACCACCGGCAGCCCAGCCCCGACCCCCACCTTCACCCCCGCCCCCACCCCCACCTCCAGCCTCACCTTTACCCCCACCCCCACCCCCACCCCCACCTACACCCTCATCTACCACAAAACTTCCCCAAGGACTTTCTTTTGCCAAGCGCCTACAGCAGCTCATAGAGGTCTTGAAGGGGAAGACCTATTCCGACGGAAAGAACCATTATGACATGGAGACCACAGAGCTCCCAGAACTGACCTCGACCTCCTGATCTGACCTGGTTCTCAACAGACCCAGTGAGCCCTTCACTCCTGAGAAAAAGGAAAGATGAAATAAATAAATAAACATATATATATAGATATACACACACACATATCTGTATGTATACATGCATATACATCAAGAGATGCTTTCTGGACTTCTTCCTATCCCCCCTCCCAACCCAAATTTCCCCTATAAAATCTACCCTCTCTCCTTCACCCTACAATAAGGCGGAATTGCTTGTACATTAGTGCCAATCGTGTTTTTTAAAATCTTGATTTTTAATGCTGGAATAAGGTGACCTGGGGCCGTAGACCGGGGATGGTCTTTATTTCACACTTAGGGAGAAACGACAAATGGTGAAAATAAAAGAGCCATCTCTGCATGTGCAAGTCAAAGGGGGTGGACCCCCAAAGCAGCAGCTGTGAGTGAGCTGACGGGGAAAGAGGGGGTGTGGGTCCAAGTCTTCTATCAGGAGGCTGGTGGTGTTGACACCCACAGAGAAGATTCTGCATGAAGGTTGAACTCCCCAGAACACAAAGGCTAAGGAGGCCACTAGGCCACCAAAACAAGTGTCTACTACCAAACACAATTTTGCTTGTGGCTTGTTAGTGTCCAGTTGACACCAACAAGCCTGTTCATTACTTGCCTGTAGTTAAATCTTATTAGTTCCTGGATTTGAGCAAATTAAAAAATGTATTCTTTGCTAGAGCTTTCTAGGAATTGCAATGGGGAATACTTTTTGGATGCCCCCGAGTGAGCTTTGAGTGGCTTCCTTAGGATTTGGGGTTATTTATTTTAAGACCTTCCATTGCAAGGAACAGAAACCAGTTAGAGCCATTTAAGTGATAAGGATGCAAAGATGTCACACAGAACCAATAGGAAAGGCCAGAAGCAGACACCAAGAATGGTGAGGAACCCAGGCAAGGCATGACCCTGGTCTGCATAGAGTACCTGCCCCACACTGCCCCATGCTGGGGGCAGCTGTCACCTGGAACTGTTCACATCTATTTGCAAAATCCTGGGGAAGAAATCCTCCAGCCTGACCAATATGGTGAAACTCCATCTCTACTAAAAACACAGAAAAATTAGCCAGGTGAGGTGGCGGTGCCTGTAATCCCAGCTACTCGGGAGGCCGAGGCAGGAGAATCACTTGAACCCGGGAGGCAGAGGTTGCAGTAAGGCGAGATCACGCCACTGCACTCCAGCCTGGGTGATAGAGTGAGACTCCATCTCAAAAAAAAAAAAAAAAAAAAAAGAAGGAAATCCTGATAGGTTCAGGCCAACCGCCCACTCTGATCAGGGAGTAAAAATGCAAAACTTGACTGCTGGTTTAACCCCTTGTGAGACTGAAGATGGCAGGTCTCAGAAAGAGAGAAAACCTTGGCATTTGGCTGAGCAGTCATTGCAACAAGCTTTCACTCATACGTGTGTCCACCTAGCTGCCTGTGTGAGTCAAGCGCAAGGTGGTCCTATGCCCCGGTTACCAAGACAGGTGGCAGAGAGAAGGTGCCATGGCAGGTGGGAGGAACCCTGGCTGAGAAAGCTCAAAGGACCAGTCATTTTCCTGCTGGAGCTGGAACCTGGACTGATGGAGCAGCTGTGAATCTTCATCTTCAAAATTTATTGGTCTACCTGGGTTCAAGCAAATACCCTGCTCTACCCCGCATAAGCTCCGTGCTCTGGGGAAGATGTGCCAGAGGGCTGTGTGACCATGAAATAAGGACAGATGCGGAGTATTAAAGCAGGTCTTGACACACCAGAAATGCCCACGAACGTGGGCTGTCATTCATGGGCCAGCTGGTGGTGACTGCTGGTGCATAATCTTACGCTTATCTGCAGGGGCACTTCGGTGCCTGCCGTTTTCCTCTTATGACCCCTGAAATGCTTTGGCCACATAGGAGGGCTTGCGTATTGAGTCGAATGGCCCATGGCTCTGTAGGATAGTAACAGTTGATCACACTTAAAACATTCTATCTGCCTTGGCTTAAGAGCTGGTGCTGCTGAAGTTGGAGTTGGTAATTCATTTTATTGACTTTTAGGCTCTCTCTCCTAAAGCCAGTTTCTTAATCTCCCTTTGTACTCTGGTGCCAGACACTTGACATTGTCTAAATACTAAGCATACAAAATGCAAGGCCCCGTGCAGAAGCCGTAACAACGGCAGCTTGGGATTCACCCTCAATGACCCTGAGCCAGACACAGAGCCAGGTGGGCCAGCACATGGAAGTATGGGGCAAGTTGTGCTGCGGTCACAAAGGGGTTTTGGACAAGTTGGGGTGGAGCTACAGCAGCAGCAGCTTTTTTCTACCCCAGAGACTTCACTGCTTCTCTTCTGAGCTTTCTGTGATCCAGAGTTGATTTTCTTGGTTCTCTCTCCCCATAAATGCTCCTTGTCCTTAGTTTCTTCTCTCCCCAGTGATGGAGAAAATCTTACCCTGGGCCTATCATCTATAGCTGACATCTGGGCCTCCTTGGAGAGACAGGGCCTACTCTCAAGGAACACCCTATGAGAGGCCATAGACTGGGTGGAGAATTCAAGCCGTGATTCCTGGAAACTTCACATGCACATTAATATGGTGACATGTCACATAATCTCCTGATCCTTCACCATTCACACTACTCTATGACTTGCTTTTCCATTTAGCAAATATAGAGGTATTTCTATGTTAGTGTGTACAGGCCCATCTTATGTCTCTAAATTGATCTTCCACAATAGGGATACTTAGAAGACAAAGTGGCACAGTTCTTTCCTAGGAAGGAATGTTTAGCCTTCCATGCATGAGAGTGCCCATTTCCCTACATCTAAGCCGACACTGTTCTTACGAAATGTGTCTATCTTTACCAATGTAATAGATGTTCCAATTTTCATTTTTAAAATTGACGCTCTTTGATCTGCCTTCATGTTCCTATGGATAGTTTAACCCTGAAAAGGTTAAACTTTCAGATCGTGAAGCAGGTGTCTCCTGCTCATAGTGACAGGAGAAATGGAAGAATGACCAGCTGTGTGACAAACCAAAACTCCAGGGACCTAGACATCTAAGGGGTGTGCCCACCTAGACATCCGAGGGGTGTGCCCACTTAGACATCCGAGGGGTGTGCCCACCTAGACAACTGAGGGGTGTGCCCACCTGGACAACCGAGGGGTGTGCCCACCTAGACATCCGAGGGGTGTGCCCACCTAGACAACCCAGGGGTGTGCCCACCTAGACATCCGAGGGGTGTGCCCACCTAGACATCCGAGGAGTGTGCCCACCTAGACATCCGAGGGGTGTGCCCACCTAGACAATCTGAGGGGTGTGCCCACCTAGACATCCGAGGGGTGTGCCCACCTAGACATCCGAGGAGTGTGCCCACCTAGACATCCGAGGGGTGTGCCCACCTAGACAATCTGAGGGGTGTGCTCACCTAGACATCCGAGGGGTGTGCCCACCTAGACAACCGAGGAGTGTGCCCACCTAGACATCCGAGGGGTGTGCCCACCTAGACATCCGAGGGGTGTGCCCACCTAGACTATCTGAGGGGTGTGCCCACCTAGACATCCCGAGGGGTGTGCCCACCTAGACATCCGAGGAGTGTGCCCACCTAGACAACCGAGGGGTGTGCCCACCTAGACAACCGAGGGGTGTGCCCACCTAGACATCCGAGGGGTGTGCCCACCTAGACATCCGAGGGGTGTGCCCACCTAGACAATCTGAGGGGTGTGCCCACCTAGACAACCGAGGGGTGTGCCCACCTGGACAACCGAGGGGTGTGCCCACCTAGACATCCGAGGGGTGTGCCCACCTAGACAACCGAGGGGTGTGCACACTTAGATATCTGAGGGATGTGCTCACTGTTTTCTCATGGGACGGCTAAGCAAATGAAAAATATTTGTAAAAACTGAATTCATAATGAAGCTTACTGATCGGAACAATAAAAGAAAATGGTTTGACAGTGGCTAAACTGTACAGGGCAAGACTCTGATGCCAGAACAGTGGGCGCGGCAAGGATCATGCACAATATTGACACTCACAGAGGCAGAGGTCCTCGCTGTGCCTCTCATCAATATAGGAAATCTTACAATATTTGCAAGGGAAAATGTTCTGGTGAATCCAATCTTAGCAAATTTACAATGGAAATGTGAAAAAATGAAAACGGTTCATCTTTAATATGTAGAAAACTGACCAAGAAACAGAAGTTAGCTTAATGGAGTTTACTCCAGAAACTCTATTCTTGGTAAAGAATCATCAGTGATCTAATTCTGGACACTACACATGGGTTTTTGCATGGGCATGTGCTTTCATGTCTCTCGGGTAAATACTTAGGGGTGGAATGACTGGATCATACGGTGGGTGTAAGTTTTGACATACAAATGCATCCCTGAAGCAATCACCACAACCCAGAGAGTGAACACGTCCGTCACTCCCTAAAGTTTCCTTGTGGCACTTTGCAATCCCTCCAGCCTGTCCCCTCTCCTGCCCCAGGCAATGTCTGGTCTGCTTTGTCTCATATCAATTTGCTTTTCTCATAATTTTATATAAATGAAACCCTATAGCAAGCCCTTTTAAAAATCAATCTTCTTTCACTCAGCATAATCATTTTGAGATTCATTTTGTGTATCGGTGATTTATTTCTTTCCATTGCTGAGTATTTCATCACACGGCTATACCACAGTTTGTTTTCCTATCTACCTATTGATGGACATTGGGTTGTTTCCAGTCTGCGCTATTCCAAATGAAGCAGCTATGCGCACTCAAATACAAGGATTTGTATGGGCATACATGTTCATATCTCTTGGCTAACCATGTGTGTGAGGAATGGCTGGTAGGTATATGTTAAAAAGCACTTTTTGAAAAACATTGAGTGTTTTCTCAAAGTGATTGCAACATTTCACAGTCCCATCAGCAGTATATGAGAGTCCCGACTCTTCCACATCCTTGACAAGATTTGGTATGGTCAGCCTTTTTTATTTTCTTTTATTATTATTATACTTTAAGTTTTAGGGTACATGTGCACAATGTGCAGGTTTGTTACATATGTATACATGTGCCATGCTGGTGTGCTGCACCCATTAACTCGTCATTTAGCATTAGGTATATCTCCTAATGCTATCCCTCCCCCCTCCCCCTATCCCACAACAGTCTCCGGAGTGTGATGTTCCCCTTCCTGTGTCCATGTGTTCTCATTGTTCAGTTCCCACCTATGAGTGAGAACATGTGGTGTTTGGTTTTTTGTCCTTGCGATAGTTCGCTGAGAATGATGGTTTCCAGTTTCATCCATGTCCCTACAAAGGACATGAACTCTTCATTTTTTATGGCTGCATAGTATTCCATGGTGTATATGTGCCACATTTTCTTACTCCAGTCTATCGTTGTTGGACATTTGGGTTGGTTCCAAGTCTTTGCTATTGTGAATAGTGCCACAATAAACATATGTGTGCATGTGTCTTTATAGCAGCATGATTTATAATCCTTTGTGTATATACCCAGTAATGGGGTGTCTGGTCAAATGGTATTTCTAGTTCTAGATCCCTGAGGAATCGCCACACTGACTTCCACAATGGTTGAACTAGTTTACAGTCCCACCAACAGTGTAAAAGTGTTCCTATTTCTCCACAACCTCTCCAGCACCTGTTGTTTCCTGACTTTTTAATGATCGCCATTCTAACTGGTGTGAGATGGTATCTCACTGTGGTTTTTATTTGCATTTCTCTGATGGCCAGTGATGATGAGCATTTTTTCATGTGTTTTTTGGCTGCATAAATGTCTTATTTTGAGAAGTGTCTGTTGATATCCTTCACCCACTTTTTGATGGGGTTGTTTTTTCTTGTAAATTTGTTTGAGTTCATTGTAGATTCTGGATATTAGCCCTTTGTCAGATGAGTAGGTTGCGAAAATTTTCTCCCATTTTGTAGGTTGCCTGTTCACTCTGATGGTAGTTTGTTTTGCTGTGCAGAAGCTCTTTTGTTTAATTAGATCCCATTTGTCAATTTTGGCTTTTGTTGCCATTGCTTTTGGTGTTTTAGACATGAAGTCCTTGCCCATGCCTATGTACTGAATGGTGTTGCCTAGGTTTTCTTCTAGGGTTTTTATGGTTTTAGGTCTAATATTTAAGTTTTTAATCCATCTTGAATTAATTTTTGTATAAGGTGTAAGGAAGTGATCCAGTTTCAGCTTTCTATATATGGCTAGCCAGTTTTCCCAGCACCATTTATTAAATAGGGAATCCTTTCCCCCTTTCTTGTTTTTGTCAGGTTTGTCAAAGATCAGATGGTTGTAGATATGTGGCATTATTTCTGAGGGCTCTGTTCTGTTCCATTGATCTATATTTCTGTTTTGGTACCAGTACCATGCTGTTTTGGTTACTGTAGCCTTGTAGTATAGTTTGAAGTCAGGTAGCGTGATGTCTCCAGCTTTGTTCTTTTGGCTTAGGATTGACTTGGCGATGTGGACTCTTTTTTGGTTCCATATGAACTTTAAAGTAGTTTTTTCCAATCTTGTGAAGAAAGTCATTGGTAGCTTGATGGGGATGGCATTGAATCTATAAATTACCTTGGGCAGTACGGCCATTTTCATGATATTGATTCTTCCTACCCATAAGCATGGAATGTTCTTCCATTTGTTTGTATCCTCTTTTATTTCATTGAGCAGTGGTTTGTAGTTCTCCTTGAAGAGGTCCTTCACATCCCTTGTAAGTTGGATTCCTAGGTATTTTATTCTCTTTGAAGCAATTGTGAATGGGAGTTCACTTATGATTTGGCTCTCTGTTTGTCTGTTATTGGTGTATAAGAATGCTTGTGATTTTTGTACATTGATTTTGTATCCTGAGACTGCTGAAGTTGCTTATCAGCTTAAGGAGATTTTGGGCTAAGACAATGGGGTTTTCTAGATATACAATCATGTCATCTGCAAACAGGGACAATTTGACTTCCTCTTTTCCTAATTGAATACCCTTTATTTCCTTCTCCTGCTAATTGCCCTGGCCAGAACTTCCAACACTATGTTGAATAGGAGTGGTGAGAGAGGGCATCCCTGTCTTGTGCCCGTTTTCAAAGGGAATGCTTCCAGTGTTTGCCCATTCAGTATGATATTGGCTGTGGGTTTGTCATAAATAGCTCTTATTATTTTGAGATACGTCCCATCAATACCTAATTTATTGAGAGTTTTTAGCATAAAGCATTGTTGAATTTTGTCAAAGGCCTTTTCTGCATCTATTGAGATAATCATGTGGTTTTTGTCTTTGGTTCTGTTTATATACTGGATTACATTTATCAGTTTGCGTATGTTGAACCAGCCTTGCATCCCAGGGATGAAGCCCACTTGATCATGGTGGATAAGCTTTTTGATGTGCTGCTGGATTTGGTTTGCTAGTATTTTATTGAGGATTTTTGCATCAATGTTCATCAAGGATATTGGTCTAAAATTCTCTTTTTTGGTTGTGTCTCTGCCAGGCTTTGGTATCAGGATGATGCTGGCCTCATAAAATGAGTTAGGGAGGATTCTCTCTTTTTCTATTGATTGGAATAGTTTCAGAAGGAAGGGTACCAGCTCCTCCTTGTACCTCTGGCAGAATTCGGCTGTGAATCCATCTGGTCCTGGACTTTTTTTGGTTGGTAAGCTATTGATTATTGCCACAATTTCAGAGCCTGTTATTGGTCTATTCAGAGATTCAACTTCTTCCTGGTTTAGTCTTGGGAGGGTGTATGTGTAGAGGAATTTATCCATTTCTTCTAGATTTTCTAGTTTATTTGCATAGAGGTGTTTGTAGTATTCTCTGATGGTAGTTTGAATTTCTGTGGGATCGGTGGTGATATCCCCTTTATCATTTTTTATTGGGTCTGATTCTTCTCTCTTTTCTTCTTTATTAGTCTTGCTAGCGGTCTATCAATTTTGTTGATCTTTTCAAAAAACCAGCTCCTGGATTCATTAATTTTTTGAAGGGTTTTTTGTGTCTCTATTTCCTTCAGTTCTGCTCTGATTTTAGTTATTTCTTGCCTTCTGCTAGCTTTTGAATGTGTTTGCTCTTGCTTTTCTAGTTCTTTTAATTGTGATGTTAGGGTGTCAATTTTGGATCTTTCCTGCTTTCTCTTGTGGGCATTTAGTGCTATAAATTTCCCTCCACACTGCTTTGAATGTGTCCCAGAGATTCTGGTATGTTGTGTCTTTGTTCTCGTTGGTTTCAAAGAACATCTTTATTTCTGCCTTCATTTCGTTATGTACCCAGTAGTCATTCAGGAGCAGGTTGTTCAGTTTCCATGTAGTTGAGCGATTTTGAGTGGGTTTCTTAGTCCTGAGTTCTAGTTTGATTGCACTGTGGTCTGAGAGACAGTTTGTTATAATTTCTGTTCTTTTACATTTGCTGAGGAGTGCTTTACTTCCAACTATGTGGTCAATTTTGGAATAGGTGTGGTGTGGTGCTGAAAAAAATGTATATTCTATTGATTTGAGGTGGAGAGTTCTGTAGATGTCTATTAGGTCTGCTTGGTGCAGAGCTGAGTTCAATTCCTGGGTATCCTTGTTAATTTTCTCTCTTATTGATCTGTCTAATGTTGACAGTGGGGTGTTAAAGTCTCCCATGATTATTGTGTGGGAGTCTAAGTCTCTTTGTAGTCACTAAGGACTTGCTTTATGAATCTGGGTGCTCCTGTATTGGGTGCATATATATTTAGGATAGTTAGCTCTTCTTGTTAAATTGATCCCTTTACCATTATGTAATGGGCCTTCTTTGCCTCTTTTGATCTTTGTTGGTTTAAAGTCTGTTTTATCAGGGACTAGGATTGCAACCCCTGCCTTTTTTTATTTTCCATTTGCTTGGTAGATCTTCCTCCATCCCTTTATTTTGAGCCTATGTGTGTCTCTGCACATGAGATGGGTTTCCTGAATACAGCACACTGATGGGCCTTGACTCTTTATCCAATTTGCCAGTCTGTGTCTTTTAATTGGAGCATTTAGCCCATTTACACTTAAAGTTAATATTGTTATGTGTGTATTTGGTCCTGTCATTATGATGTTAGCTGGTTATTTTGCTTGTTAGTTGCTGCAGTTTCTTCCTAGCCTTGATGGTCTTTACATTTTGGCATGTTTTTGCAGTGGCTGGTACTGGTTTTTCCTTTCCATGTTTAGTGCTTCCTTCAGGATCTCTTTTAGCACAGGCCTGGTGGTGACAAAATCTCTCAGCATTGGCTTGTCTGTAAAGTATTTTATTTCTCCTTCACTTATGAAGCTTAGTTTGGCTGGATATGAAATTCTGGGTTGAAAATTCTTTTCTTTTTCTTTTTTTGGTAGCACAGTGAGTGGAGTTTATTTTTATAATTTGTAGAAAATTGACATTTAGATTTCAAAACTTATATTACAAAATTATCAGCAGCAGTCTTAAGCATTTCAACCATGCTGATAGATTCCACTTTGCTAACACAAACAAGGCTATTATACTATGTTTGAAAAGCAAGACTTGTTCCAAGACGGCCTATTATTATACATCTGCCTCACTGCTCAGGACCCGTTTGTGACTGTGTCTTCTTCCATCTCTTCTTCACCATCATCAGTGGGCCCCAATCTGCGTTCTCTGCCAGGGATCTGACCAGACTGCAGCAACCCCTTCAGCCTCTCCACTTCAGCCAGAGTTGAAGCATTTGCTATAGCATTCTTGATTGCTTCTACATCCCCTGGAGATGGCCCACCTTTCTTTTTGTCAGTTGGCAAACCAGCACCTGGATTAAAAGTTTTGCTTCTCCTGGCAATATCCTTTGCAAGCTGTGCACCCCGTTTGCCCTTGAACATTTTCTCTGCTTCCTGACGCTCTTTAGTTTCACTTTCTGGAAATCCAGTACTCTGATTTGCGGAACTTTATAAATCACATACAATCTGTAATGCTTCTTATTGGTTACTGGATTTCTTAGGATACTTAGGTAAGTCAGCGATTTGAGAGATGCCAGAGGGTCCAGATCACCCAGTTCCACGAGCCTATTATTGGTGAGAATGAGTTCTGTCAGACAGGGCAGAGCCTGATCAAGTCCCTCACCTATACGGCATATTCTGTTTTGTTCACTAACAACGTTTTCAGTCTTCTCAACAAAGGAAAACCATCCAGTTTCCTGATCTCATTGTCAGAAAAATCAATAGCATCAAACTGGTCTAACGTAGCACCTAGATTTTCAATGACGGGAATTTTATACCCCCGGAGGTCCAGCTCCCGGTCGCGCACCGCGCTGGTGTACTGCGCCGCCTGCTCGATCAGCTCCGCCGTCAGCTTGACCATCCTGCGGCCTCCCGTTCCCCCGCGCTGTGGAAAGCTGAAAATTCTTTTAAGAATGTTGAATATTGGCCCCCACTCTCTTCTGGCTTGTAGAGTTTCTGACGAGAGATCCGCTGTTAGTCTGATGGGCTTCCCTTTGTGGGGAACCCGACCTTTCTCTCTGGCTGCCCTTAACATTTTTTCCTTCATTTCCACTTTGGTGATTCTGACAATTATGTGTCTTGGAGTTGCTCTTCTCGAGGAGTATCTTTGTGGCGTTCTCTGTATTTCCTGAATCTGAATGTTGGCCTGCCTTGCTAGATTGGGGAAGTTCTCCTGGATAATATCCTGCAGAGTGTTTTCCAACTTGGTTCCATTCTCCCCGTCACTTTCAGGTACACCAATCAGATGTAGATTTGGTCTTTTCACATAGTCCCATATTTCTTGAAGGCTTTGTTCGTTTCTTTTTATTCTTTTTTCTCTAAACTTCCCTTCTCGCTTCATTTCATTCATTTCATTTTCCATCACTGATACCCTTTCTTCCAGTTGATCGCATCGGCTCCTGAGGCTTCTGCATTCTTCACGTAGTTCTCGAGCCTTGGCTTTCAGCTCCATCAGCTCCTTTAAGGACTTCTCTGCGTTGGTTATTCTAGTTATCCATTTGTCTAATTTTTTTTCACAGTTTTAAACTTCTTTGCTATTGGTTTGAATTTCCTCCTGTAGCTTGGAGTAGTTTGATCATCTGAAGCCTTCTTCTCTCAGCTCGTCAAAGTCATTCTCTGTCCAGCTTTGTTCCATTGCTGGTGAGGAGCTGCGTTCCTTTGGAGGAGGAGAGGCGCTCTGCTTTTTAGAGTTTCCAGTTTTTCTGCTCTGTTTTTTCCCCATCTTTGTGGTTTTATCTACTTTTGGTCTTTGATGATGGTGATGTACAGATGGGTTTTCGGTGTGGATGTCCTTTCTGTTTGTTAGTTTCCTTCTAACACACAGGACCCTCAGCTGCAGGTCTGTTGGAGTTTGCTAGAGGTCCACTCCAGACTCTGTTTGCCTGGGTATCCACAGCGGTGTTTGCAGAACAGTGGTTTTTCATGAACCGCGAATGCTGCTGTCTGATCGTTCCTCTGGAAGTTTTGTCTCAGAGGAGTACCCGGCCGTGTGAAGTGTCAGTCTGCCCCTACTGGGGGGTGCCTCCCAGTTAGGCTGCTCAGGGGTCAGGGGTCAGTGACACACTTGAGGAGGCAGTCTGCCGGTTCTCAGATCTCCAGCTGCGTGCTGGGAGAACCACTGCTCTCTTCGAAGCTGTCAGACAGGGACATTTAAGTCTGCAGAGGTTACTGCTGTCTTTTTGTCTGTCTGTGCCCTGCCCCCAGAGGTGGAGCCTACAGAGGCAGGCAGGCCTCCTTGAGCTGTGGTGGGCTCCACCCAGTTCGAGCTTCCCGGCTGCTTTGTTTACCTAATCAAGCCTGGGCAATGGCGGGCGCCCCTCCCCCAGCCTCGCTGCCGCCTTGCAGTTTGATCTCAGACTGCTGTGCTAGCAATCAGCGAGACTCCGTGGGCGTAGGACCCTCCGAGCCACATGCAGGATATAATCTCCCGGTGTGCCGTTTTTTAAGCCCGTTGGAAAAGCGCAGTATTAGGGTGGGAGTGACCCGATTTTCCAGGTGCCGTCTGTCGCCCCTTTCTTTGACTCGGAAAGGGAACTCCCTGACCCCTTGCGCTTCCCGAGTGAGGCAATGCCTCGCCCTGCTTCAGCTCGTGCACGGTGCGCTGCACCCACTGTCCTGCGCCCCCTGTCTGGCACTCCCTAGTGAGATGAACCCTCAGATGGAAATGCAGAAATCACCCGTCTTCTGCGTCGCTCACGCTGGGAGCTGTAGACCGGAGCTGTTCCTATTGGGCCATCTTGGCTCCACCACCCTGGTCAGTCTTTTTAATTTTAGTCATTCTGATAGGTGTGTGATAATATTTCATTGTGGTTTTAATTTGCATTTGCTTAATGACTGGTGATGTGAAGCATATTTCATGTGCTCATTGTCATCCATATATCTTCTTTGGGGAAGTGTCTGTTCAAATCTTTTGCCTATTTAAAAACTTCTGTTGTCATCTTTTTATAGAGTTTTGAGAGTTCTTTTTACGTGCTGAATGTAAGTTCTTTGTCAGCTGTATGCATTGTAAATGTCTTCTCCAAGTCAGAGCTTGCTTTTTAATTCTCTAAACGGTGTCTTTTGGAGCTCAGCAGTTTTAAACTTTGAGGGAGTACAACTAATCACTGTATTCTTTATTGTTACATATTATTTGGTATATCTATTCATTTATTTAGGACTTCCTCAGTTGTCTCAGCAATGTTTTATAGTTTTGAGTGTGCAGGTTTTTCACATATGTTGTCAGAATTATTTATTTATTTATTTATCAGAATTATTTATAAGTATTTCATATTCTGATACTCAATTGTTGATTCCTAGTATACAGAAATACAATTGATTTTTGTGTGGTTATCATGTATCTTGAAATCATGGATCATGCTTTTGGTGTATGGTCTAAGAGATTTTTGCTTAACCCAAGGTCACAAAAATGTTCTTTTATGTTTTATTCTAGAAATGTTAGAATTTTAGGTTTTTCACTTAGGTTTATGATCCATTTTGAGTTAATTTTTGTATTTGGTATGAACTTGGATTGAAATTTTTTTTTTTTTTTTCCTGAGACATAGTTTCACTCTTGTTGCCCAGGCTGGAGTGCAGTGGCATGATCTCAGCTCACTGCAACCTCTGCCTCCCAGGTTCAAGTGATTCTCCTGCCTCAACCTCCTGAGTAGCTGTGATTACAGGCACTCACTACCACGCCTGGCTAATTTTTTTGTATTTTTAGTAGAGATGGGGTTTCACCATGTTGGCCAGGCTGGTCTTGAAATCCTGACCTCAGGTGATCTGCCCATCTCAGCCTCCCAGAGTGCTGAGGATTATAGGCATGAGCCATCGTGCCCGGCTGAAAATTCTTTGGTATATGATGTCCAATTGCTCCAGCACTATATGTTGAAAAGATTCTCCTTTTTCCATTGAAATGCCTTTGTACCTCTGAAGAAAATCAGTCGTTCATATATGTCTGGCTCTGCTTTTGAGCTATTTTGTTCCTTTCATGTATTTGTTTATCTTGACACCAGTACCACACCATCTTACTGCAAATGGGTTTATAATAAGTCTGGAAATCAGGTAGTATACATCTTCCAACATCTGTGTTTTCTTAAAGCTGTTTTGACGGGTTTAGGTCCTTTGTATTTCCATATGAATTTTAGCATGAGTCTGTTGATTTCTACAATAAAAATTCTGGCCGGGCGCGGTGGCTCACGCCTGTAATCCCAGCACTTTGGGAGGCCGAGGTGGGCGGATCATGAGGTCAGGAGATCGAGACCATCCTGGCTAACAAGGTGAAACCCCATCTCTACTAAAAATACAAAAATTAGCCGGACATGGTGGTGCATGCCTGTAATCACAGCTACTCAGGAGGCTGAGGCAGGAGAATGGCGTGAACCCAGGAGGCAGAGCTTGCAGTGAGCCAAGATTGTGCCACTGCACTCCAGCCTGGACAACAGAGCGAGATTCCGTCTCAAAAAAAAAAAAAAATTCTGCTGAGATTCAGCAATCCCATTACTGGGTATACATGTAAAGGAATATAGATTTCAACAGGAAATCAGTATGTTAAAGAAATATTTGCATTCCTTTGTTCATTGCAGCACTGTTAACAATAGCCAAGATATGGTATCAACCTAAGCATCCATCAACAAGATGAATGGATCAAGAAACTGTGATATATATACACAGTGGAATACTACATAGCCATCAAAAGGAGATTTTATTATTTGTGAAAATGTGGATGAACTGGAGGACATTAGGTGAAATAAGCCAGATACGGAAAGATACATGATGCATGATGTCACTTATATGTGGAATGTAGTAAAGTCTAAGTCATAGAAACAGAGTAAAATGGTGGTTTCCAGAGGCTGGGGGGTGGGAAGATTGGGAGACTTTGGTCAAAGGACACAAAATTTCAGTTATTCAGGAGCAGTAAGTTCAAGACATGTATTACACATCATGGTGACTATAGTTAATAACAATGTATTGTACACATAAAAATTGCCAAGAGAGTGGATTTTAAGTGTTTTTACTATAAAGAAAATGAAATGATAATTATGTGAGATAATGTTAAATAGCTTGATTTAGCCATTCCACAATGTATACATATATCAAAACATCATGTCGTATATCAGAAATATATACAATTTTTGCTTGCCAATTGAAAGAATTAACTTAAAAGAATCTGCTGATGTTTTCATTGTGATTGTGTTGAATTTGCAGATCAATTTGGGAAGACATGACACCCTAACAATACTGCGTCCTCTGAGTCATGAGCTCAGGGTATCTATTCATTTATTTAGGGTACTGCGTCCTCTGAGTCATGAGCTCAGGGTATCTATTCATTTATTTAGGGTACTGCGTCCTCTGAGTCATGAGCTCAGGGTATCTATTCATTTATTTAGGGTACTGCGTCCTCTGAGTCATGAGCTCAGGGTATCTATTCATTTATTTAGGGTACTGTGTCCTCTGAATCATGAACTCAGTGTATCTATTCATTTATTTAGGGTACTACATCCTCTGAGTCATGAGCTCAGGGTATCTATTCATTTGTTTAGGGTACTGTGTCCTCTGAATCATGAACTCAGTGTATCTATTCATTTATTTAGGGTACTGTGTCCTCTGAGTCATGAGCTCAGGGTATCTATTCATTTATTTACGGTACTGCGTCCTCTGAGTCGTGAGCTCAGGGTATCTATTCATTTATTTACGGTACTGCGTCCTCTGAGTCATGAGCTCAGGGTATCTATTCATTTATTTAGGGCTGCTTCAATTTCTCTCAGCAATGTTTTGTAATTTTGAGTGTGCAGGTTTTTCACATATTTTGTCAGAATTATTTCTAAATATTTCATATTCTGATATTCAATTGTTGACTGCCAGTATACAGAAATACAATTGATTTTTGTGTGGTTCCCATGTATCTTGAAACCATGCCAAGTTCATTTGTTAATTCTGGTGCTCTGTTTGTAGCTGCCACTGGATTTCAACATAGACAATCAAGTCTTCTGTGAATAAAGACAGTGTTATTTCTTTCTTTCTTTATTTTTGAGATGGAGTCTCGCTCTGTCTTCCAGGCTGGCGTGCAGTGGCACAATCTTGGCTCACTGCAACTTCTGCCTCCCAGGTTCAAGTGATTCTCCTACCTCAGTCTCACGAGTAGTTGGGACTACAGGCATGTGCCAGCACGCCTGGCTAATTTTTGTATTTTTAGTAGAGATGGGGTTTCACCATGTTGGCCAGGCTGGTCTCGAACTCCTGACCTCGGGTGAACCACCCAACTCGGCCTCCCAAAGTGCTGGGGTTACAGGTGTGAGCCTCCATGCCCAACCTTATTTATGTTTTTCTATCTGAAAGCCCTTGTTTTTCTTGCCTTATTTCACAGTACAATGCTGAATGGAAGTGGTGAGAGTGGACATTCTTGTTCCTGAGCTTAAGCATGAAAAGCTTCAGTCTGTTGCCATTAAGTGTGATGTTAACTGTGGGTTTTTCACAAATACCATTTATTAGGCTGAGGATATTTTATTCTCTAAGAAAAATATAGAGGTTTATATTTTTGCTAAGAGGTTTATATTTTTATTTTTTACACAGTAATGAGTGTTGAATTTTGCCAGCTTTTCCTACATTTATTGAGATGATCATGTAATTTTTCTGTTTTTACTTTGTTAATCTGGTGTATTAAATAAACTATTTTAGAACAACTTTAGATTTATAGTAGTCACAGATTGTTACAGATTTACTCCTCTAGTTTGAGACTATTTCTCAGTCTTTCTTTGCTCTTATATGACCTTGACAAATTTGAGGGATAGTTAGGTATTTTGTAGAATATCCCTCCATTTGAATTTGTGTAATATTTTTCTCATGATTATATTGGGATTATGAATTTTGGGAAAGAGTCTCATAGAGACAAATTATCCTCATCACATCCTATCAGGAGTCTACAACATACATATGACAACAGTGATGACATTAACCTTGATCCGTTGGTCAGGGCAGTGTTTTCTGGGTTTCATCACTGTTCGCTTTCTATAAGTGCTTCTTTAGAAGTGAGCCACTCAGTCCAGCCCATTCTCTGTAGTGATGGTGGTTGGGGGTGTTGGCTCCACCCCCTGCAGATGGCAGGAGTTACACATAGTATTTTTAATTTTTCTGTATGAAAGATTTGTCTCTTATTATTCATCTATTCATTATATTAGTGTAGAGCCCTAATGTATATTTATTTTATACAGTGGACTATAAACCAATATGACATTATATAATTTGTTGCTCACATTTTTCCAGCTTTGCCCATTGGGAGCCCTTTCATATTGGCTCTTGAGTCCCTTTGACATGCCTTCATCATTTTTTAAATTAAAAAATTATTACTAATTTATTTTTATTTTATGGAGATAGGTTCTTTCTATGTTACAGCCCAGGCTGGTGTGGTCTTGAACTCCCGGCCTCAAGCAATCCTCCTACCTCAGCCTTCCAAAGTGCTGGGATTACAGGTGTGAGCCAGTGCACCTGTGGCTTCATTCCCGGCTTCATTTCATTTGTTGAGCACATCCTTCCTTTCTGATATAATAAGGTGCTACAGGCTCATTTTGCATTTCCCCTGCTTCAACCCTGGAATCCACCATTTCTCTAAAGTAATCTGGTTTTTTCACTGGAAAGTGTTTTTTTAGAAACTAAGATCTGGACACTGGGTGTGCTTGTCAATACTGAGATGTATTACTTCTAAGCCCTCAAAGCTGGATGAGACAGTTAGGTAATATATGTTGTATACTAACCCATGTACACACATGTATCTATTATTGTTTTTGTATCTATCCATTTTATATATATATAAAGCTAAATGAGAGTTCACAATAATACTTTCACCTCTTATCCAGTACCGCAAGATTTAGTTTATCCTTTTCTTGCTTCCAATACTTTTTTTTTTTTGAGACAGAATCTTGCACTGTGGCTCAGGCTAGAGTGCAGTGGCGTGTGATCTCAGCTCACTGCAACCTCCCCCTCGTGGGTTCAAGCGATTCTCCTGCTTCAGCCTCCCGAGTAGCTGGGACTATAGGCGCCCACGACCACGCCTGGCTAATTTTTTGTATTTTTAGTAGAGACGGGGTTTCACCATGTTGGCCAGGCTGGTCTCGAACTCCTGACCTCGGGATCCGCCCACCTTGACTTCCCAAAGTGCTGGGATTACAGGCGTGAGCCACCGTGCCCAGGCCCATTAAATTTTTTTTTTTTTTTTTTGAGACGGAGTCTCATTCTGTCGCCCGAGCTGGAGTGCAGTGGTGCGATCTCAGCTCACTGCAAGCTCCGCCTCCCGGGTTCATGCCATTCTCCTGTCTCAGCCTCCCGAGTAGCTGGGACTACAGGTGGCCGCCACCATGCCCGGCTAATTTTTTTTGTATTTTTTAGTAGAGATAGGGTTTCACTGTGTTAGCCAGGATGGTCTCGATCTCCTGACCTCGTGATCCGCCCGCCTCGGCCTCCCAAAGTGCTGGGATTACAGGCGTGAGCCACCGCGCCTGGCCCCATTAAATAATTTTTAAATGTTTAACTGACACTGCACTCCTGGGATAAACTCCACTTTAGTCATGTGTATTATCCTTTTAATATGCTGCTGGACTTCTCTTATTTATTTATGTATTTATTTTATTTAGAGGCAGGGTCTCATTCTGTCATCCCAGCTGGAGTGTAGTGGTGCAATCATAGGTCACTGCAGCCTTGAACTCTTGGGCTTAAGCGATCCTTTCATCTCAGCCTCCCTAGTAACTGGGACTACAGTCATGTGTCGCCACACCCAGCTAATTTTAATGTTTTTAGTAAAGACGGGGTTTTGCCATGTCGGCCATGCTGGTCTTGAATTCCTGGCCTCAAGTGATCTGCCCTCCTTGGCCTCCCGAAGTGCTGAGATTACAGGCGTGAGCCACTGCACCCACCCACAATTAATTTTAAAGTATTCTCGTTACTTGAAAATCTGTACCCTTAGCTTCCTGGCCCCCACCAAATTCCTTCCCAACTTCACCGGCAACCCCCCCACCCTAAACAACCACTAATCTGTTATTTTTGTCTGTAATCTTTCTGTTCAGTAATCTTTCTGTCTCTGTAGATTTGCCTGTTCTGGACATTTCATATTAATGAAATCGCACAACCTGCGGTGCTTTATACGTGGCGTCTTTCATTCAACATACTTTTTTTTCAGTTTCATCCATGTTGTAGCACATATTAGCACTTCATTTCTTTGTATTTTTGAGTAATATTTCATCGTGTGGATATACCACATTTTATGGATATTTGGATTATTTCCAGCTTTTTGGTTATTATGGATAGTGCTGCTATAACCACTCATATACAAGCTTTTCTGTGAGCACATGTTCTCATTTCTCTTGAGTGTATACCTAGGAGTAGATTTGCAGGATCATATGGTTAACTCGATGTTTCACCATTCCAGGACTGCCAAACTGTTTTCCAAAGTGCCTGCACTATTTTACTTCCTCCTCAGCAGTGTATAAGGGTTCCGATTTCTCCACAGCCTCATTAACACTTGCTATTATCTTTTTCATTACCAGTAAGTGGCATCTCATTCTGGTTTTGATTTGCATTTCTCTCATGACTAATGATGTTGAGCATCTTTTCATGTACTTATCGGCCATTTGTATATTTTCTTTGGAGAAATGTGCATTTGCTTCATGTATTTTTAAAAACCATTTTATCGATATACATATTTAAGGTATACCACTTGATGAGTTTGAAGTAAGTATATACCCATAAAAACGTCACCACAATGAATGCCATAAACATATTCATCACTTCAAAAAGTTTGCTCCCTCTCTCTTCATTTCTAATTCTTATGTTTTGTGATAAGGACACTTAACATAAGATCTATTTCCAGTAAATCTTTAAGTATGTAATACAGTGTTGTTAACTATAGTCACTATGCTGTACAGGAGGTCTCTAGGACTCATCCCTCTGGCATAGCTGAAGCTTTGCACCCAATGAGCAATGCCCTAGCCCTTGGCAACCACCATTCTACTCTCTGCTTCTCAGTTTGAATATTTTAGATTCCTTATGTACGTGAGATCATGTAGTATCTGTCCTACTGTGTCCGGCTTCTTTAACTTAGTATATTTGCTGCAAATGGAAGGATTTCCTTTTTATTTTATTTTATTTTAATTTTTTTTGAGACTGAGTCTCGCTCTGTCGCCCAGGCTGGAGTGCAGTGGCGTGATCTCGGCTCACTGCAAGCTCTGCCTTCTGGGTTCACGCCATTCTCCTGCCTCAGCCTCCCAAGTAGCTGGGACTACAGGTGCCCGCCACCATGCCTGGCTAATTTTTTTTTTTTTTTTGTATTTTTAGTAGAGATGGGGTTTCACCGTAGCCAGGATGGTCTCGATCTCCTGACCTTGTGATCCGCCGGCCTCGGCCTCCCAAAGTGCTGGGATTACAGGCGTGAGCCACTGCGCCAGGCCAGGATTTCCTTTTTTAAAAAGGCTGAATGATGTTCCATTGTACGTATATGCCACATTTTCTTTATGTATTCATCCGTGGTTGAAAAAAAAATTTTTTTTAAGCATCTCTTTCAATCTTTGCAGATTGGCTTTGTGCTGGGGCATTCCTTCAACACCTAACCAGGATATTAACAACTCTGTCTTAGCCTTCACTTCTTGATAACCCTGGACCTAGAGATCTTCCAAAGGAAAAAGCTTAGGGTCTTCTCAGATCTTTCCTGAATGCGTGACCTGCCCTGGGTATGTGCATGACATTTGAAATCCCCAATAAACACAAGTATTTTTTGAATGTCCTGATTTCCCAAAGAAACTCTCCCAGATTTTCCTCCCAGGCTTTATGTAATATATTGTATGTCTGAACCACAACTTTTTGTCCCAGGGAGCTGTGGGTTTTTTGGTCATCTCAGAATGTTTTTAAGCAATGCCTGCCACTTTTCTACCTTGAGTGGATTCAGACTTGGGCAAAACAGACAAATGCCTCATTTTAGTCTCTCAGATCGTTTCTGACCGGTTAGAATAGACAAACAAAGTCATTTGTGAATAAGGTCTGCCTTGCTCCCTCTGGAACCTGGGACCTGGGTCCTAAATTGGGAAAATGGACTACTATCTTCAAGATCACCATCAAGCTGATGAAGGGGTGGGGCAAGGGCAAGTGAAAATGCCACACCACTTTTCTGTCACTTTGAAGTTGCCCTTTCCTCATTTCAGGGCTTTCCTGATTGATATAAGTCTTTTACTGTTTTCCAGAGTTCTGGTAAAGTTTCTGCTGCTTTTTCTCCATGTTTCTGTAGAGGGACAGGAGTTTGGAGCTGTCTACTCTGCCATTTTCCTGATGTCACTCCACTTCTGAGTCTTTCCTATCTTTGTGGATAGCAGAGATGTCGATCTCGGATATGATACCCTTTAAGGATGGGGTCCTTCATGATGTGATATACAACTTAATATTCATTATATGGTTTTATGTCCCCAACATGTCTAGTAACCAAGGAGTGGACATAGGAGCGCCCCGCTCGCTAGCACTCTCAGTGACACACTTGGGGAATCTGTGTTTGTGTCTACAGCTTTAGGCTCTGTGAGCTGAAGTCTTGGACTCTGTGAGTGGCAGTGTGGGGAGTGGGGGAAGGCATTTCCACCAAGTGATACAGTAAGAGTTTCACTAAACACAAAGCTATGGCTGCTTCCTAGACAGTCCATGCGCTTGTAACTGGCAAGCAGAGTTAGCATTCTGGAAAGAGGTGATTACCTGTAATCGTCATTAGGAAGAAAGGATGTTGCCAGATAATAATAGGAAGGAGCAATGTATTTGGTACTCAGATGATTCATGCTGTCTCTTGGTACTTGCATGTTTAGATATAACTATGTAAGTGTTAACAACCACCGCCTCATAAAGGCATAGTAAGCAGGGGCTCAGACCCCATTAGGCAAGAGGAGCAGGATCAACCCACCAGGCAAACAACCTAGACCAGCAAAAGTGCTAGCCAGAGGATGAGAGGTGACAAGTATCAGTCTCTGCATGGGGTCCAACTACAATAGCAGGGGCTATGGTTTGTCCTTTCCCATTGACCCTTCTCTTGTACATTCCCCCAGGACTGGTGACCAGTTAGAAACATGGAGCAGCTCTACCTGGATGGAATGAACTTTAAGAAGCAGGTGGATCTGAGCAATGTACACATGGGTGGCTTGTGGATGTTGCTGGCACCCTGCCTAAACATTCATCCTCCAATTGCTTTGAGTTGGAAGCGCACAGTTACCCTTTTCCCCAGAGAACTGACCTTACTGAAACAGAAGGCCCCCTTCCACCTCACACCCTTGGCTGAAGGGCACAAAAGGCCCCTGGTCTTGAGGTAGGACTAACTCTGGAGGGCAATTTGCCCTCCAGAGCTTCCCTGGGACGGGGTGGGG
The DNA here is from genome assembly GCF_000001405.40 of Homo sapiens. Lineage (NCBI taxonomy): Eukaryota > Metazoa > Chordata > Mammalia > Primates > Hominidae > Homo > Homo sapiens. The sequence continues at coordinate 50,766,925 of NC_000022.11, forward strand.
TGGTGAAGCCGGCCTCCAGCTGAGACCACAACCTTGCTGAGCTTCTTGTCTCCTGCCCCCCTCACTCTTCTGAGAATGACCCTAATTAAGTCATTTGAACCACGGCCTTCTCAGGGTCAGCTTCTAAGGAACCTGATACAGAATAGTCCCATAAAACCAACACGATGGTGAACTTTATAGTCTGCAAATTCTATCTCAGTAAGGCTGTTGTATTTTTTTTTAAGTACTTAGTAGTTATTTACAGTAACTACATTTTTTTAAGTTCTACCTCATCAGGGTATACGTTCCTGGGAACCCCTGGTCAGGTCAAACATCTTACGTTGAACATCTAAGTATTGCTGATTTCAAGGGGAAATGTGCTTGTTCTTGAGCTCCCAAATTAATAGGTAATTGAATTCTTTTGAAAACACTAAATTCCACTGAAATGGCCTCCAATATAGTGAATTGAGAGTAAACATGGGCTACCCTGCAACAGGTCAAGGCAGCTACCCCTCATTGATAAGGGTGATGATTTGCAGATTCTTTTGTCTTTTTGCTCAGTACACACTTCAGAGCCACAAAGCACATACATTTACTCAATGTTTATGTAATTCAGCCTTTACTGTAAAAAAGGAAACAACAAAAACAAAACCCTATTAATAAACACAATGCAAACAATGCCCGAGATTATCATAAAAACATACTAGCAAGCCACAAGTACCAGAGAGGGGTGAACAGGCATATCTGCTAGCTCTCCTCTTGCAGTCCTCAGCCTCCCACAGGAGGCACAAGGTCCAAACTATTCCTCAAAAAAAAGGACAGCCTCTTTATGCTGAAATAGGAACTTTAAAGGAAGCTCTTCTTGTAGTCCAAATGGACGTACCTTGTGGTATGGCTGTAAGGACTCGATTTTACGGCTTGTGTATTCCTAACTATAGCTAGGCCTGTCACCTGCTGTTCCTGTGATCTCAGCTTTACCTAGAAGAGCTCCTGAAACAGAATGGGTACACGAAAATCTGGAATGAATAGCTATCTGCTCAAAAACGATTGTTTAAAAACAGATGATTGGGGCCGGGCGCGGTGGCTCATGCCTGTAATCCCAGCACTTTGGGAGGCCGAGGCGGGCGGATCACGAGGTGAGGAGATCGAGACCATCCTGGGCAACATGGTGAAACCCCGTCTCTACTAAAAATACAAAAATTAGCTGGGCGTGGTGATGCCAGCCACTCGGGAGGCTGAGGCAGGAGAATCGTTTGAACCAGGGAGTCAGAGGTTGCAGCGAGCCGAGACTGCGCCACTGCACTCCAGCCTGGCGACAGAGCGAGACTCCGTCTCAGAACGAACAAAGAAACAAACAAACCAGATGACTGGGAGACTGAAGAGGAAAAAAGATGGGAGAAAACGTAGGGAAAGGATGGGGCCTCACAGACTCAGCTGTGGGTGGGGGGGTAAATCATTACCTCAGGAGAAGCCCAAGGAATTGTCCCCGAGGTGAGCTTTGGAAAGAAAACAAAAACAAAAACAAAAACACCAAAAAACACCTAAATTTCCTGTATTAAAGTGACACATAATCATGTTTTCTGATTCTCTTCACTGTCTGCCTGCGGGGAGGGGGTGGGGAAGGTGTTAATGATGCTGATCCCTACTTCTGCTTCAAGGAGATCTGGTGGGGAATTCTTCCACCAGTCCAGAGTTTGCTGGTGCTGACCTCATCCCTGTATCACGGGCCTAGAATGTGGGAGGCTAATAGGATGGGTGGGTTGCAGGAGGTAGAAGAGGGGATGGCCTAGAGAGTTTCTCCATTCAGAGCTGGAGAGTTGTTGAAGGGAAGGGTATTTTAAAAGGGCTCCACCCACCCCTAGCCCCAGCCCCTCAGCTGTGGGGAGAGGCCGCCTCCTCTGATGGGGTCTCGATGCTGCTGCTCTGTTCCTGGTCTGGCACGTCCTCCTCTTCCTGCTCCAAGCTGAAGTTCTGTGAACAAGGTCGCAGGTGAGGCCTGGCCCTGCATTTGCTCAACCGCAGCTCTGATACATTTAGTGGGGCAAACTTAGGCAAGAGTCACTCTACTGGGTTGTAGTCCCTATCCCTGAAGAGGAGCCGTTTCTTCCATCCCACCCGAAATGTGGACCTGACCTACCTCGAGCTCCTGAAAAATCTCATCCATGAAGTCCTGGGAGTTCTGTTTGTAAGACACAGCTAATCGAATTGCATCATTGAAGAGCTGGGGGTGAGGTAGAGATGGTGGATGAGAGTGCCTTGGACTCTGCCCAGTCCACCCCACTGGCCCCACTGTGAGACTACACAATACTCCATTCCTAAAATCAGCAACCTTACCCCTCCATTTGCCTCTCCCCGTCACCCTGACCTATGTATGGTCAATGGACTTCTGCCTCATCAAGTCCAGGCCCATCAGCTCCTCCCCTCCCTGCCACCCATGCCCATGCACTGTCCCGGTTCTCTCCATCACACCTGCAGTAAGCCCTTCTCTTCACAGCTTCCCTTTACCACCTAGCGCCCTGACCTTGCTAGCTACCTCTGCAGTCAACCACACCTTCACAACATTGGTACCATCAGCAGCCGAGACGAAATACAGGGGCAGGGAGAACTTCTTGGCAAAATTGAAGCTTTTTTGGGTCACGTTTATGTCTGCTGTAGAGAGAAGGTAGGACATTGGTCTGTCTGTCAAGGGAAGGGAAGAAGGTTTGGAGGGGGGGGCCACTGGAGGCCTTCATTCCAGAAAGTGGGATAGGCAGGGATGATTGGGAAACAGGTCCTAGAAAGAGCTCAGTTAATAGGGATCTGTGTCTTGGAAAGAGGGCAGGTCGGCTTAGCTGGCTTCTTTATAAGGTGGGAAGAATGCAAGCAACCAACCAAGGGTTGTATCTTATCGTGGGAGGGAGGACCAATCACTGAAGGTTGCCTGCCCGGGGAATGGAGGAGGAAATGTATGAGGGCAGGTCCCCAGTGAATTGCTAACACCCAGGTGCAGGGATGGCCCCACCATCAATTTTATTGGCCACCACGATGCATGGGATCTCTGGCCTGAACTCCCGAAGCTCTGTATACCAGGTGCTCAGGTTCCTATAGGTGACTTTCCTCTGTACATCAAACACCTGCAAAGGGCAGAGGAAGAAAGATAGCTCAGGTATGTCAATGTTTCTGCACCCCATCTCCAGGTGACTCACACACCCAAGCAGGTAAGCACGAGCACATGGTGCTGTTTGTGGGAACGCTCTGAATTGCAGCCTCTCTGACCGCAGAGGCTGCCGTTTCTCAGGGAAGCCCCCTGGAGCCTCCAGATGCGAAAATGTTTTTAAAAATCTTATTCTTGGCCCAGTGCAGTGGCTCACACCTGTAATCCCAGCACTTTGGGAGGTTGAGGTGGGTCAATCACCTGAGGTCAGGAGTTTGAGACCAGCCTGGCCAACATGGTGAAATTCCGTCTCTACTAAAAATGCAAAAAATTAGCTGGGCCTGGTGGCGCATGCCTGTAATCTCAGCTACTTGGGAGGCTGAGGCAGGAGAATTGCTTGAACTAGGGAGACAGAGGTTGCAGCGAGCCCAGATCATGCCATTGCACTCCAGCCTGGGCAACAAGAGCAAAACTCTGTCTGAAATAAACAAATAAATAACGTATTCCTTTTTTGTTATCTTGTCATCTAATCTTATTCACCTATTTTAACAATCATAAATGGAATCAATTTGCCAATTGATGCAGTCTGTTAGAAATTGTAAAAACTTTTGTGTTTTTTAGTCCTCTTGTATTTATTGCTTAAACTGTTTTAAAGTTCCTCTGTAGTAACCGTAAATGTTTCTAGAGTTTTACTTTAGTTACTATTTACTTTTATTTATTTATTTACTTTTTAGAGACAGGGTTTCACTGTCACCCAGGCTAGAATGCAGTGGCTCAATCACAGCTCACTGTAACCTCAAAACTCCTGGGCTCAAGGAATCCTCCTACCTCAGCCTCCCAAGTAGCACGCACGCATTAATTTTTATTTTTTTATTTTTTTTTTTTTGTAGAGGCAGGCTCTCCCTATGTTACCCAGGCTCATCTCAAACTCTTGGCCTCAAGGGATCCTCCCACCTGGGCCTCTAAAGGTGCTGGGGTTACAAGTGTTAGCCATCACAACTGCCCCTGATTTTTTTTTTTTTTTTAGACGGAGTCTCACTCTGTTACCCAGGCTGGAGTGTGGTGGCATAATCTCAGCTCACTGCAACCTTTGCCTTCTGTGTTCAAGTGATTCTCTTGTCTCGGCCTCCTCAGTAGCTGGGACTACAGGTGTGCGCCACCATGCCTGGCTAATTTTTTTATTTTTAGTAGAGACAGGGTTTTGCCATGTTGGCCAGGCTGGTCTCGAACTCTTGATCTCAAGGGATCTCCATATATGGAGTCTTGCTCTGTTGCCCAGGCTGGAGTGCAGTGGCGCTATCTTGGCTCACTGCCACTGCAACCTCCACTTCCTAGGTTCAAGTGATTCTCTTGTCTCAGCCTCCGGAGTAGCTGGGATTACAGGTGCGCACCACCATGCCTGGCTAATTTTTGTAGTTTTAGTAGAGACAGGGTTTCATCATGTTGGCCAGGCTGGTCTCAAACTCTTGACCTGCAGTGATCTGCCTGCCTAGGCCTCCCAAAGTACTGGGATTACAGGCATGAGCTACTGCACCTGGCTGATTTACTTTTAAGCTTCTGTTTACTTCTTTGTTCTTTCTGCTTTTTGTTTTTTGAGATAGGGTCTTACTCTGTCAGCCAGGCTGGAGTGCAGTGGCAGAATCTTGGCTTACTGCTCCTCCACCCCCTGGGCTCCGGTGATCCTACCTCAGCCTCCTGAGTAGCTGGAACTACAGGCACATGCCACCATGCCTGGCTAATTTTGTTTATTTTTTGTAGAGATAAGCTCTCATTATATTAACGAGGCTGGTCTTGGACTCCCGGTCTCAAGTGATCCTCCTGCCTCGGCCTCCCAAATTTCTGGGATTACAGGCATAAGCCACTGTGCCCGGCCTCTTTAAATTTTTTTAAAGTAATTTTTATGTTTTATTATTTGCAGTTCATAATTGTATTACTTTATAATTTGTTTTTACCTATTTTATTTTTATTTATTTATGTATTTATTTTGAGATGGAGTCTTGCTCTGTTGCCCAGGCTAGAGTGCAGTGGCGGTATCTTGGCTCACTGCCACTGCAACCTCCACCTCCTGGGTTCAAACGATTCTCCTGTCTTCAAATGATTCTCCTGTCTCAGCCTCCTGAGTAGCTGGATTACAGGTGCGCACCACCACGCCTGGCTAATTTTTGTATTTCTAGTAGAGACGGGGTTTCAACATGTTGGTCAGGCTGGTCTCGAACTCCTGACCTCAGGTGATCTGCCCGCCTAGGCCTCCCAAAGTACTGGGATTAAAGGCATGAGTCACCGCGCCCAGCCTGTTTCTACCTATTTTAAAATATCAGCAAGAAGGATGAGCACTGCAAACCAGCTCTTAAGGGCAGAACTCTGAAAGACAACTGAGCTGCTGCTACAGTGAGCCTTCATGCCCTTCACAGGAGCTCCTCCAAAGTGTCTAGCCCAAACTGCCCTAGTACAACAGTCAGTGGATTAAAGTTACAGACAACCACCACCCTGTAACCGCTGGCACAGCTGACCTCACTTCTAAATCACCCAGCTATTTGTGCAAGCAACACGGTTCAAGCTCAGGGCTAGGGGCTCGCCCTGTGTGGTGGCGGGAGGGTCAGCAACTGTCACATCTCAAGAGGTGGCAGGAAGTCTATGTAGATTCTCTTTCACAGGCAAATTTCAATGAATCACCAGGTTGTCTTGAATTCCCGATGAAGACTCCTTATAAAGGATGTCTGTAACTAAACTTCTGGAATCTGCCTCACACCAGGCTCAGATGCCTTTTGTCCAGGTCTGGTTTCCTGAGCATCTGTTCCTTGTTTTGAGAGCTGAGGAGGAGCTGGCTAGAATGAGGAGCATCCCCATCTCAAGGTTTCAAGGTGGAGGGTCGAGCCCTGGTTCCGTCTCTGACCCTCAGCTCCCCGTGTGGTCAGAAGGCAAGTGCTTTCTACTCGCCAGGGCCCGTGCAGCAGACTGGGGCTGGTGGCAGGCACCTGCAGACACAGGCATGGTGGCAGGAGAGACACCCCAGGCCTTCAGAAGAGGGTCTGAGGGGAGCCCACGGAGATGCAGCAGATGCAGGAAGCAGTCACTCCAAGAGAAAAAGAGAGGTGAGCTCAAAATACCAAATGCCACTGTAGGCCTGAAACCAAACTGGCTAGGACCAAGCTCCTCTGCTCTTGAGGGTCAGACTTCTGCACTACACTGCCCCCATTTTCCTTGCCCCATCATCCTCTTGTTTAGTGCCTTAACAGTTATCAGAGTTAAAGCTTTTGGAATTTTTCAAGGGATTTTGTTCTCAAGGGGCAGTCGGGGGAATTAGGTGATGAGTTCCTTCCTTTACCATCTGCAAAGGGTCAGAAGGGAAGAATCCTCACTGTCCTCACCACTGGTATCTGTACTGTGCCTACCAGTCAGTCAGTTCCTGGGGGCAGCACGTGTGTCTTTCCACCTGGGCACTCCCAGCATCCTGCACACGTGCATCACAGACAGTCCATGTTGTGGAAGGGATCAGTGGTGCAGGAGCACACACGAAAGAGCTAAGCTAATGACAAACATCAGAGGAGGCTGCACGGAGGTGGTGGCATTGAAGCAGGGCCTGAAAAATGAGCAGAGTTTCAAATAAAGGGGTGTGAGCTGGGGAGAGGCTGAGGGAAGAGCATGAAGGAAGGTGTGCAGAGGAGCAGGTGACAATGAGCAGAACAGAGCAGCTCCTTCTGCATCCCCTCTGCTATTGCTTCTTACAGATGAGATGACACCTGCTCAGCCATGCATCTCTCTCAGTGCCAAGGTAAGGCCGTGCGTATTTACAGACAATCACTAAGTGGGAGGTAGGGCTAGAAAGGTGGGTGTCTAAATGCTATGGGGTGCCATGGCAGACTTTATTTTTTTTTTGAGACGGAGTCTCGCTCTGTCGCCGAGGCTGGAGTGCAGTGGCGTGATCTCGGCTCACTGCAAGCTCTGCCTCCCGGGTTCACGCCATTCTCCTGCCTCAGCCTCCCCAGTAGCTAGGACTACAGGCGCCCGCTACCACGCCCGGCTAATTTTTTTGTATTTTTAGTAGAGACGGGGTTTCACCGTGTTAGCCAGGATGGTCTCGATCTCCTAACCTCGTGATCCGCCCGCCTCGGCCTCCCAAAGTGCTGGGATTACAGGCGTGAGCCACCGCGCCCGGCCCGTGGCAGACTTTATTAATGTATGCCAACAATGGTGGCAACCTGTCCATCCCATGTGTTCTTTTAACCATATGATTCTGGTTCCCCACTGAGAGATGCCATCTGTTTCTTCCCTCTGTGACTATGGACAGAGAGATGCCACATATTCCAGGGCTAGGCCATAAAAGGAAATATAAGTCCCACCGGGTTCTCTTTGGATACTTGATCTTGGGATCTTGGCTGATACTCTGTGAGCAAACCCAAATCAGCCCAAATGACAAACTGCGAAGAAACACGGGGAGTAGAACCTGCTGGTGGTCCAGCCAAGTACCAGTGTGTGTGTGTGGGGAGATGCCCCAGGCAGTTCCAGCCTGGAACCCAGCCTTGGAGTCTTCTTAGCTGAGACTTCAGACATGGATTCCCGATCCATCAGAAAATGGTTGTTTTGTACCGCCAAGTTTTGGGGTTTTGTGTTAAAGCAAGACCTTGAATGCTATTCCAAGAAGTTTTAGTGACCAAGGTTTTCACTTGGTGACAATTGCTAGGGTTAATAATTCAGAAGACTAGTCTATTACTTTCTGCATTGTTGATGGCTGATATTCATGAAAATGTGGGTTTTTTTTAGATGGAGTTTTGCTCTTGTTGCCCAGGCTGGAGTGCAATGGTGTGATCTCGGCTCACTGCAACCTCTGCCTCCTGGGTTCAAATGATTCTCCTGCCTCAACCTCCCAAGTAGCTGGGATTACAGGCACCCGCCACCATGCCCGGCTAATTTTTTGTATTTTTAGTAGAGACGGGATTTCACCATGTTGGCCAGGCTGGTCTCAAACTGCTGACCTCAGGTGATCCACCCATCTTGGCCTCCCAAAGTGCTGGGATTACAGGCATGAGCCACCGTGCCCAGCCATGAAAATGTTTTTTAAGTGACCCAAAAGAAAAACATGCTCCTTTTCAGCATTTAAAAGTGGTGGCCTGAGAACCCAGCCAGGGAATTCACGGGTAGGAACTTCTACAGGACACAGGTATACAGAGCTCCTTTTTCCTTTCTCAGCCCTTTCCTCGGCTGCATTTTTCTCTTGGAGCGACTGCTTCACCACACCCGGGTCACCAGGGGGAGCCGTGAGGACTGCGTCCTGGGCAACACAATGGGAGGCTCGGGGGGAGGCGAGGGGCTGGCCTGAGAGAGAAGGTTCTCTGGGACCCGCAGCATCTACTCAGTCCCAGCGTGCGCCCCCTAGGGAAAGGCAGCAGGCAACAGTGGAGGGAGGCCTTGGGAGCTTGTCTGACAGGTTAGGTCCATCAGAGGGACGGTGGCCCTGTTTCAGGCATGTTTGCCTCTTGGATGCTACACCTGATGTTGAAGCCCTGAGCTTGCTGTTCCACCTTTTCTCCACCCATCCCCGCCTACAGAGAGCTCACCTGGCACCTTCTCACTAAGAAGCTCTGGGGAGCAGGTGTGGTTTGAAACATCCCCGGGTGACCCTAAGCCCCCCTCCCACAACACCCAGACTTGGTTACAAGGGCCCAGGGCTGCTAGGCCCCTCACCCCTCAGGCCAGACTTGCCCAGTGCCTTTGTCCACCTCCCCACCGTCTCGTACCATGATGCAGGCGTGGGCCTTGTGGTAGTAGGAGGCATGCATGCTCTGGAACCGCTCCTGGCCTGCCGTGTCCCAAAAGTCTGCAATGTGAACACAGACAGACCTACATGCCTGGTGCACTTCTGTGCAAGTCACTAAGATACAACACACATGCGGCACAAACCACAGCACATGTGTGAGTGTACATGGGGAGCACAGGGAGAAACAGAGACTATACAGCCCCACACGTGTGTCTTCAAGACACAGTGTACCTGAGTGTGATGTGAGAGGTGTGTCTTCACCTGTGTGTATGGGAAGACAGTGGGTCAGGGGCCAGGAGGAAGGACAACACACTGGAAGCCCAAGGAGGGAGAAGACAGTTCCCCGTTTCCCACGTGACACGCAGGGTCCTCTAAGTTCCAAACTATTCCAACTTCTCACGTGCGCTGACCACAGACGGTAGACAGAGTCAGGCAGGCTGTGTGCCCGGCCAAGGAGAAGATTATGACCCGATGGAAGGTCGCAGCCCGATGTGGGAGATAATGTTCTGACCACATTTATTTTTTCAAACTGGCTGAGTAACAACCCCTGAAGCTAGGAAAACTACTGCCTCGTCGAAGGCCTCTTACGTTCTTCTTCCCTGAGGTGGGTACAGCCCCCTGACTTCTCCTTTCCTGAACCCTGTCCTGCACAGGTGCTGGCCTGGACGCCAGGTCAGAGGGCTGGGACTTGGCCCCTGCATGCCCCCTTCCACCCTCCTGGCTCCTGGCTCTCTGGGTTCTCTCTAGCACCCCTTGTCCCTGCCTGGGGTCTCATTTTCTCCCTCTGGACTCTCTCCTTATGAACCTTCCCTCACCTCCCCTCGTCTCCCATTTCCTCTTTCCTGAGGGTCAGCATGTCTTGGCCCTGTGCCACTTACCCACAAGGATGGTCCTTCCATCTACCGTGGCTGTGTGCTTGTACAGGGTCAGGGCGTACGTGGACAGCTGCTGTGGCTGACTGCACTCAGGTTAAGGAGCAAAATCAATAAAAGGGGAGGTAAGGAAGGAGTGGGGAGCAGGGGTGTTTGGTTTGATGAAATGGATCCTCTCCCTCCTCTTCTCTTTGGAGTTATTGAGATTTTAAATCAAATGAATGTTGCAGACAGAGGATCAGCTTCACATATCACTGGTACAAACTCCATGGAAGGGTGAGGGGTGGGAGGAGATGGGAGTGTGTCCTGGCCATCGAAGTCTGAGGTAAAACACAGAACAGGATTTTACAGACAAGTGTCATAAAAGGCATCATGCAGTTGGAAAATGCAAATGTGGATACCCCAACTCAATCATGGATGGAGCTTTCGCAGGCTAGAAAGGAAACCCTAACCCTAGGTAGCAACATGACCATTCCAGGGACAAAAGCTCCCACAAGCCATACAGCTGACAAGCTGTCAATCAATTTGGAGTCTGTCTATGTGTGAAACCCTGAGAAAAAGGGTTAAACTCTGGGGATTAACAGCTTCCGAGGCTGCAAGAAGCCGGACAGTGTAAAAAGCAGAGCCAAATGACGCAGGTGGGCTGGGTGTGCAGGAGCACTTGGTACAAGGTGGAGTAACACATACTCAGATCTTAAGGCAACTGAGCCTTGGGGTGCCGAGCCTAGGACAGGCAGCAGCAGGCTCCAGGGGCTCCTCTCACCTGTGGTTCTCAGTGGATCCACTTGGGAAGCTGTTTAAAAATCTCCCAGTTGCGGGGAGGAACTCACTCCAAACCTATGTAATATAACAATTCATGGGAGAAAGGTGGGGCTGGCAGCTCCTATTTTACAAAGTTCATTCATATCAGAGATTTTTTTCAATAGTAGGGGGCCCAAGCTTTGAGGTTAGAGAGGTTAAATGACTTGGCCAGTATCAGAAGCTACTGAGGAGGAGGAGGTGGGGTTTGAATCCAGGCATTAGATCCAAACCATTTGCTGTTTGCCATTCTACTGCCCTCTTAATATAAAACAATCCAAATATGAGTAAGGTCCAAAATATACAGCACTGATTGTGCAATGCCATGTGGGTCAATCGGCAAGAAACAAGTGCGGAACAAAACCTGTGCGTTCACTTACCCAATCCTCCTTCCTGGGCTGCTGGTACAAAGGTGTGGGCAGTGGGACACTGATACATGAGCGTGGGAAGACCCACAGGAACAAGGGGTACTTCAAACCTTGAAGGATACAAGCCATCCATGAGAAATCTCTCCATGAGTCTGTAAGCAGAACAGGCAAGGTGGTCAGATGGCGTCTCCATCTCTCCCTCGTCCCAGACTTTTTCACCCTAAGGCTGACAACCTGGAAGCCACCTGTGGCTTCCCTTCCCCCTTTCACTCCACAGCCACACAGCTTCCGGGTCAAGTCTGGAAGTTGGGTATCAGCATTACCAACCCGTCATAACAAAACAGCTCATGTCACTATGAGTACACACACCAGCCCACGTGAAGCTCTCAAATCTGTTATTTCCACCAGAGCACAGTTCTGCCCATGCAATTACCCTTGTGTTATGCAAAGGGAAACAGAGGCCAGGCCAAAGCTGCGCCTTCCGTTCAAAAGCCATTTCCCGGTCGGGCGCGGTGGCTCACGCCTGTAATCCCAGCACTTTGGGAGGCCGAGAGCAGCCTGGCCAACAGGGTGAAGCCCTTGTCTCCACTAAAGATACAAAAAATTAGCCAGGTGTGGCGACACACGCCTGTGATCCCAGCTACTCAGGAGGCTGAGACAGGAGAATCTGCTTGATCTATTGGTTATTGAGAGGACCATCTATTCTGAATGTGGTCAGTTATCCCGTGAAAAAATTAGGCAGACTTGGTCACTCCTCTCTGCAAAACCATCCAGTGGTTCCCCATTTCTTTCAGTTCAAACTCTCCCATTTCTTTTCTCTCCCTCTGTTCTAGCCACTGGCCATTTCCTCCTTTTGTTGTTGAAATGCTCCTGCCAAATATCTGCAAGGCTTACTCCTTGCTTTTTTCAAGTCTTTGACCCAATGTTACCTTTACAACTAGGCCTTCCCTGACCACTCTCTTGACATTGCAACCTTTTTTCCCTCACGTTTTGAAGGGTCACTGCTTGCCTGTCAGTGTAATACACTCTAACCATGATTTTATACTTCTGATATTTAAACTGCAGCTTGAATTGTAAAAGGAGGATAGATTTTATTTATAACTATAAAGAAACAGCACCCTTACTATAAAGAAAACACATCATCTTCTTAGATCACGTAGAAAATTACACAAAGAAATTACCGCGGCCAGAGGTTAAGATGGTCAATGAAAAAGACTCAAGCTCAGAACACTGTCTTGAGAGGGCACATGCTCAGAAAGTGCAGGAGGAAGAGGAGAGATCCATAAACTTGCCTCATCCAAGCAGAAGCAGTGGAAGAATAAAAACACAGGCACAGAGGGATTTTCTTAAGGAAAAGTTGCCTCTGGAAGACAGGATGAAGGAGGGAAAAAGAGGCCCCAGAGACTCATTCCCTCCCAACATTCTGCAGCTTAGCAGAGAACCAGCTCGGCAGGCCTGAGCTCAAAAACAGAGCAGGCCTACCTCCGGAGGCTCTAGGAAGCTGCCTCTGTCACTGTCACATACGCAGATGTTCCCTGTCTTCTTTTCCCAAAAATATTTAGAGTAGGCACTGGTCACTGGTGGCCTAAGCACAACTCCCTCAGGATAATGAGAGCTTGGGACCCAGGGAGTCACATGGTGTGACTTTTCTGCTTGTAAGTTTCCCCCATCACCCTAGTCTGTACTCACACCATGTGGCCTTAGTTTTGGGTGGGGGGGGTGTGCCTTTGCCCTCTTTGCACAACGATGATAGGCAATCATTAACGGGAATGGAAGACCCTAAAGGCCAAGTTAGACAGCTATCAAAGAAAAAAGACAACACATCTGGACCTAACTACTCTTAAAGATGGAATCAGAAAGCCACGTCTTGTTGGCCGGGTGCGGTGGCTCACACCTGTAATCCCAGCACTTTGGGAGGCCAAGGCAGACAGATCACTTGAGGTTAGGAATTCCAGACCAACCTGGCCAACATGGCAAAACCTCTGCTAAAAATACAAAAAAATTAGCTAGGCATGGTGGCGCATGCCTGTAATCCCAGCTACTCAGGAGGCTGAGGCATGAGAATTGCTTGAACCTGGGAGGCGGAGGTTGCAGTGAGCCGAGATTGCCCCACTGTACTGCAGCCTGGGTGACAGAGCAAGACTCTGTCTCCAAAAAACAAAAAACCATGTCTTGTTATTAAGCAGTATGATCACCTGGGGTCAAAAGAAATCTGGTCGGGTGCAGTGGCTCATGCCTGTAATGGCAGCTCAGGAAGGTGGCATGTGCAGGAGCAAAGGAAAAGCCTTCCACAGGAGGCAGTGCCCAGGTCTGAGGTCACCTGTTCACAGGGGGTAGGGGAGCTGTCATCAGAGCCCTCCAACAGAGCCCTGAGTGGAATCAAGAAGCATGAACATGCTGCATGAGAAAAAAAAAAAAAGGCACCTTAAAGAAAGCCTGGTGACTGGGGCTGCTACTGTTGTAAATTTCTGAACTCTGCAAGAAGGCCGCACTGCCACAACATTGCTCTCTAGAAATGAGGCCGTGTACAACTGACGCCCTTCAGATATGATGAACACAAGTGTTAACTTTTTTTTTTTTTTTTTTTTTTGAGACAGGGTCTTGCTCTGTCACTAGGCTAGAGTGCAGTGGCGCAATCATAGCTCACCACAGCCTGGATGTGTTAACCTCTTAATGGGTGTTTTAGCCCAACTGAGTTTAGATTCATAGGTTAGAGACACTGAAAATTGGCAGTAATTCTTGAGTCCAGTCAAAACTGAACCACAGTGTTCTCATGCACTCACCTTCCCTCAGATGCACTGTTTCCACCATGGTCTTTGTATCTGGGACAACCTTTTGCCTGAGATACTGCTAGTGGATGAAGACTGCCTTGTTTTCTAATTGTTGTGTCTGTGGAGGCCAATGTTATGGTAATCTTTGACGTCAAGTTAACTACTTGGATTCTTATTTTTTGTTACTGTTTGAAATGAGGCATATAAAGAGACTAGCATTGAACTTGGGAGCTGGGTATACCAAGATACATTCTCCGAAAGTTCTGTTTGTTATTAAAGTGGCAATTTGCTTTACACCTGCCTGCCATTTCTATTCTTTGTTGTTTTTAAACTTGAGTGGGGATAAAGGGGGTGTTATTTATTGGGTAACCTTCCCAAACTACAACACCTACCCTCACTTTTACTGTACAGGCGTGCTGTTGAGGATGGTCAAAGTAACTATAAAATACTAAACCAGAGGCCGGGCGCGGTGGCTCATGCCTATAATCCCAGCACTTTCGGAGGCTGAGGTGGGCGGATCACAAGGTCCGGAGATCAAGACCATCCTGGCTAATAAGGTGAAGCCCCGTCTCTACTAAAAATACAAAAATAAAATTAGCTGGGTGTGGTGGCAGGCGCCTGTAGTCCTAGCTACTCGCAAGGCTGTGGCAGGAGAATGGCGTGAACCCGGGAGGCGGAGCTTGCAGTGAGCCGAGATCACGTCACTGCACTCCAGCCTGGGGGACAGAGCGAGACTCCGTCTCAAAAAAAAAAAAAAAAAAACTAAACCAGAGCTGCAGTATGTGATTGTGTGGTGGGGAAGAGAGAGAGAGAGAGAGAGAGACAGAGAATTCAAATTCATGGAGATGGCCTAAAAACCAGCAAAGCCCCCAGAGAATTATTCACAGCTACCTGAGTCAAAGGACTTGATTATAAAAATGAAGGTAGAAACCAAGGTGGGCCTGGAGTACTTGGGAGATAAACGTGACCACTTCTCTGGGCAGGGGCAAGTGTACCGTCATGCTATGAAGGCAGAAATGGACATGTGCCCTCAGCAGTCCTAGGCGTGAGAACTAGGACGTCTCATGGAGACAAGCTGGCAGCACGGCAGAGCCTCCCTTCACCTCTCCGGGTGGCACGTAGGCACCGAAATTCATTACAAGAAGAAGCCAGTCTTCACAATGATTATAGTCAATCGTCAGTTCTACCCAGTTTTCTCTATTTCAGAGAGTCCCTCCAAGAAAGCATCTTTACCACCTTTACCCAATCTGTCACGGTGGCATAGTCACTTTTGTCTTTCCATTCCCACTCCCCGCCCTTGCCATCCCTCAGCCCACAAACCACATACAATGTCCTCAGTTGCTCCACACGTTCTCTCAGGGCTCAGAGGAAACATTCAAATTCCTCAGTCCTTATGACCTGCCCCCTCCACCTGACACACACAACGGCTCACGTGATTCCCCTCGTTCCCCCATGAACATCTGGGCTCCAGCCAAGACTGCTCCTTCACCAGCCCCAAGAAGCCATGCTCCTCTGCCTCTGGAGGACTTTTTAAATGACCTGGACCCTCTCTGGGGCTGGTATTTATTCCCTAATCTCCCAACATACTTGGATTTGCCCACTGCGCTGTCTCCCAGGCAGATGATCTTCACGTTGTCATCAGCATCATACTTCCCTTGGTCCAACTCACTCGGTTTGGTTTTGTCTTCTGCCATTGGCTCCTAGCTGTAGAGAGGGGTCCAGCCCAAGGGAGGGGAGGGTATTGTCACTGTCTGGGAAGATCAACAAGAGGCTGTTGTCAGAGATAAGTCCCCTCAACCAAATCTCCAGCTGTACCTCCCTCCAGACTGCTTCCCTCAGTGCCAGACTGAGATATGGTATGCAATTGACTACTAGACTTGGAGTAGCAGAGTATGACACACAGGCATCAATAATATGTTATACACAAATAGTTAAGTCCTGCGCACCCCAAATGCTGCTCCTCACGTTACCCATTTGCACAAGACATTCACCAGGCATCCAGTGCCAAAGGCTGTGTGCAACATTATGTCTAGCTCTGTTTTACTCTCCTCACACCTAAATATGACTTTGCAAACATTCCTGAGAATGTAACCACAGTCCAGACTCTTAGCTAGGGGGGCACATAGAAATGATATGATGATGAGACAGCAGCAATAGGTGAGCCTTACTGGGCATTCACCATGAGCAGACCTTGCACAGGGTTCAGAGGATGGAAGACACAATGATAGCAGAGTCTACTGTGGTGAGAGCTACGACAGAAGTATGCACACGGGTCAGGGGTAGAAAATACCAACAGGGCCCCCGAGTTTTCCTGACTGTGCCACCACACAGCTACTGCTTCTGCACAGCCAGGGACTTCGCCTTGTTTATCCAGGGAGACAATTCCTGGGAAGTGGCAGATGCCTGGAAAGCATGATGAGGGGTCTGCCCCCTTTCACCTGTACCCTGTAGAGAGAGCGACAGAAAGCCAAATCCAGCTTCATGGCTCCATGCTTGAAGACGTTCTTTCTTTTGTTTAGAGATAGGGTCTCACTCTGTCGCCCAGGCTGGAGTGCGGTGGCGCGATCACGGCTCACTGCAGCCTCCAACTCCTGGACTCAAGCGATCCTCCCTCCTCGGCATCCCTGGACTATAGGCGTGAGCCACCGCTTACGGGCGAAGACTTGCTTGTCCGTGTCCTTGCCATCTAAGTGGGTAAGCTATCTTTCGATAAATGTTTTTGGCCACCAACCATGTCCAGGCATCGCCAGGCTGCCCGTCCCGCCCCCCACAACAGCCTCGCGAAGCCACCTTTCCGTGCTTCCCCCGACCCGGACGCCCTCTCGCCCACACCGCTAGGGAGGCCTCGGAGGGGCTGTCCCCGCGTGCTAAGCCAGCCACCGGGGCGGATTTGCCCTCACGTGCGGTTCCGAGTGAGGGCTGGAGAGACCAGGGACGCTGCGGGTCGGCCCCTCGGGCCCTGCCGCCAGTCTGGACTCTGCGCGCTCTCGAACCACGCCCGCCGGCCCAGCTCGCGCCGCAGCGCACTCCACTTCCGGCTCGGCCCGCGTCCTCGCAGCTGCTACGCAACCGCACAAGGACCCCGAGGGAGGCTGCCCGGCCGAAGGCCTGAAGGACCCCGCCGGGGCGCTGGCTGCCCAGCGCGGCGCCTGGCGGGAGGGCCGCAGGGAGTGCGCATGCGGCCGAGTGCGGGACTGGGGCTCCTGGCTGTGGGTGTGGTACCGAGGCTTCAGCGGGTGCCGCCCGCCTAGAGGGAGTGGAGCGGTGAGCACGTCAGGGGTGGGGGGCGCAGGTCAAGCTTTCACCAGTTTTTAATTCTTTGATGGGGTAAATTTGAGCAATTTTCTCGACTTGTCGACATTCGTTATTAACTGAGCAGGAATCAGGAGAGGAACCCGGTCCTCTCCACACAGCCCAGCAGGTACGCCGCCCATGTGCCTGTGGAGAAGAGAGGTTCCTGTGGGGCAGACAGGTGTGGACCAAGTAGCTGCGAAATTTCTTCTGAAGAAAACACACAAGGGGGAAGCGAGTGAGCTCAGTGGAGGAGGGGCGCTACCCCAGGGGACGTCCCCATGCATGGGCTTGTGAACCTCGAATATGTGAGACGGTCTCAGTCAATTTAGAAAGTTTATTTTGCCAAGGTTGAGGACGCACGCCCGTGACACAGCCTCAGGAGGTCTTGACATGTGCCAAAGGTGGCCGGGACACAGCTTGCTTTTATACATGTTAGGGAGACAGGAGACATCAATATATGTAAGATGAACGTTGGTTCCCTCGGGAAAGGCGGGACAACTCGAAGCAGGGAGGGGGCTTCCAGGTCACAGGTAGGTGAGAGACAAACTGTTGTATTCTTTCGGGTTTCTGAATAGCCTCCGCAAAGGAGGCTATCACATATTAACCTATCTCAGTGAGCAGAGGGGTGACTTTGAATAGATGGGGAGGCAGGTTTGCCCTAAGCAGTTCCCAGCTTTTTTCCCTTTAGCTTAGTGATTTTGGGGCCCCCAGATTCATTTTCCTTTCACAGGCTAGACAGCTTTAGGAACTGAAAGGTTCACGAGGCTGTAACGAAGAGTCGAGTTGCTCCAGGTGAGCCTGGGCCACAACAGCACGCAGGACCTGGGCGCCCACGAGGGGCTCCTGGGAGGGTTTGGGAAAGGGATGTGTGAACCCTATCTGAGATGGTTTCAGGTAATTTAGAAAGAGGTGCACCCGTGACACAGCCTCAGGAGGTCTTGACGACATGTGCCCAAGGTGGTCAGGGCACAGCTTGGTTTTAGGGAGACATGAGACATCAATCAATATATGTAAGAAGTACGTTGCTTCCATCCAGAAAGCTGGGGACAACTGGAAGCAGGGAGGGGGCTTCCAAGGTCACAGGTAGGTGAGAGACAAAGGTTGCATTGTTTTGAGTTTCTGATTAGCCTCTCCAAAGCAGGGAATCAGATATGCACCTATCTTAGTGAGGAGATAGGTGACTTGGAATAGAAAGGGAGGCAGGTTTGCCCTGAGCAGTTCCCAGCTTGACTTTTCCTTTAGCTTAGTAATTTTGGGTCCCCAAAATTTTCCTTTCAGAGAGCCTACGACTAGATTTGCATCTTTACGTCCTGCGCGGAGGCTGCTACACACATGCAGAAGTCATGCTGGTGGCCTGGACAGTGAAGGGAGAGAAGTGGATTTGGGAGACATTTAGGAGGTAAGATTGCTAGGACCTTGGTGATAGCTTGGACATGGAGGGTGGAGGAGGAGGGGTGTCTAGCAGATAATGCTCTTAGGTTACCACCTGGGATATTAGGGAGAGTGAGCAGGCTGTTTTTTGTTTCTTAGGCAGAACTTGGTTTTGCGGTGCAGTAGGGTGCCTGGAGCCGAAAGCCTGACTTCCTCATACAGGCCAGACCCCACATGTGACTGCCAGGCCACTTTGAGGCTGAGAGAGATGGTTTTGTCTGGCCTCTGTCCTGCACGTGTTTACGGATGACCTCTGTGTTGGCAGATTTGGGGGTCCGCCAGATAGGATCCTGTGAAGAGACCTCAAAGGTCTTTAGTCCAATCTATAAAACATTTTTATGTTGATTATATCATTTCCACAATCAAAGATGAAGAATATATACAGAGGTGTATTTAGTGAATAAGGTTGATGGTGCACCTGCGCTAGGCAGTGTTTTAGTTCGTTGAGACACCAGGGAGTTGAGACAATCCTTTACCTCAGAGTTTTGTGTCTGTAAGTCCTGCTGTTGAGAGGTGTGTGTGTTAAAATGTCTGATTTGGGCAGGTGAGATCTGGGCCCTCTGTAAGGTTAGGTAACAGGAGGTTGGTGTCCAGCAAATATTCAGTGCCCCATCAACATCCCAGTTCTTGTCCACCAATCTTCCAATTCTAGGACTGATGCGGAGGCCCTCAGAGCGACTTCAGAGGAGAAGTAGTATGCTCTGTGGCTATCTTGTTTTGGAGTGTAATTTGTAAATCCTCTGCAAACAAAACGTTGGAAACAAGTAGTGTTTTGGCTTGAGTTTCCTGTAAACGGCTTACAGTCGTTGGGTTAGGGTTGGGTTAGGGTGATGGTGAGGGTGGGGGGTGAGGGTTAGGGGTTAGGGTTAGGGTAGGGTCAGGGTTAGGGTCAGGGTCAGAGTCATGGTTAGGGGTTAGGGTTAGGGTCAAGGTCAGGGGTTAGGGTTAGGGTTTAGGGTTAGGGTTTAGGGTTAGGGGTTGGGGTTAGGGGTTGGTTAGGGTTAGGGGTTAGGGGTTAGGGTTAGGGTTAGGGTTAGGATTAGGGGTTATGGTTAGGGTTATGGTACTGTAAATAATTTCACATTATTACTAATAATAAATTATTATTTGTATTACACTATTACATAATGTAAAGGCTATTAAGACATGTTTGTCTTCAAAGAATGGCCTTGGTTTCTGTGGGCAGTGTCCTCATGGAAAGGTAATGCGTTCCTGCTAAATCATGGACAAAACGGGCTTGCAGGAGCTACAGGCTGCAGCAGCAGCTTCTCCTCTACGTCCTTCACTGCCTCATACTGTTGTTGACTTTGAAAGCTTTTTTCAGTCTAGTTTTATCAACAGAGCTAGTATTTTCATGAGGTTCTACTACATACCAGGTTCCAGAAAGCTAAATGCCTTTTGTTTGTTATTATTCACTAAATACAAATCACAACTCTCTCCTCATTACTCACACAACAAAATTTAGCTGAGGGAGACTGAGTGACTGTCCCAGGGTCACACAGCTACTAAGAGCAGAGTCGTGTTTAGATTCATGTGGGAATACTGAACACAGACATGAACCAGTGGAAACATCCTACGTTCCAAAAGCCTACTCAAGCCATTTGTTCTTATTTTAAGGAAAATCTTTATGCTAATTTTAAACTCCAAATACTTATGAATGGCAGAGATCTACAGATTTGATTCTGATGTAAGAAATGATGGTCACCAGCTGGTTACTGCTACCACCCCACAACCCCGAGCATACTGGACGAATGTCTAAGCCTTGTGGTTAGTGGGGACAATGCTGGTGGAGTCTGAAGTTGTCATGCGGTGACTCATGCAAGCTTAGGCAGATTTGGTGATATATGACACAGAGATGCAAAGAAATGTTGTAGCTGACACACACCGGCTGGCTCTGGGAGATGCAGAAGGAGCACGTCACCCAAAATAGAGCCAGACAGACATCCTTAAGGAAAGAGCCAAGGGGCTGCATCTTAAAGAATGAAGAAAGGATTTGTCATGAGAGATGGGACAGGAAGTTCTTGAGAGGCAGAGGGAGATTGTGAGAATGTTGGGAAGGGAGGAGAGATTCTCGCACATCTGGGAAGCTGACAATCCATCAGCATGTCCAGAAGGAAAATAAGGAGGAGGAGCAGAAATAGATGAGGCTGGATATAGAAGCAGGGCTGAAGCTGTGTCGATTGTGGTAAAGAGTTGTGATTCTATCCAGAAGGCAATAGGTAGCATTCTAAACAGAGATCTTTTAAAACAAGAGTCAGCAAATATTTTCTGCAAGGGGCTAAATGTTAAATATTTCAAGTTTTCCAAGCCATATGGTCTCTCTCTCAATGACTCAGCTCTTCCATTATACCATGAAAGTAGCCAGAGACATTATGTAACACATGTATTGGCTGTGTCCCATTACAACTTTACTTACAAACGCAGACTGTGTCAGACATGGTCCATGCATGGTAGTTTGCCACACTCTGTTTTAGAAAGCTCAGGTTTATGATGTGATGGAGAATGCCTACAAGAGCTCTTGTTTTAAATGGTAGAGTGAACATACACTGGAATTCTATCCTGCTTGACCCAAGCTCTTGATAGCGAAAGGCAGAAAAGATAGATGGTAAACAGATAGATAGATGATAGATAAAGAAAATACATAGCTGTTCCAGAAAACAGAAATGGATAACTTCATGAACCAAAAGCAGAGTAATATACTTTAGAAAGGAAGCAGGCCAGAAAACCCACAGTTGCAAAGCAAATAGAATTTCCAACTGCCTCTTGTAGCCCCTTCCTGGAAGTAGTCACAGCCCAGGGTGTTTGACTTCTTCCTCTGTTTTTTGTTTGTTTGTTGTTTGCTTTTCTGTGGGGTTTTTGTTGTTGTTGTTTGCTTTTTTAAAAAAAAATTCCCTTTCCCTGCTTTTTGGTCACAGCAGCCTTTGTCACTTCAAACACCGCAAGTGTTCTTTAAAAAAAATTATATCAACCTTTCAATTAAAATGCAACATGTCTGAAACTTGGTATCTGGAGAGGTGAGTTGGACAAAGGAGCCCTTGTTACTGCACGTTTTCATTCTTCAAATTTCACCTTGCACGCAGTAACAGACAGTGCGCAAAGCCACTTCCTTATGGACGGAAATTCTGAAATCCTTTTATGCCTGGCCTTTCCATCCTTCATCTTCCCCTCTCCCACGCTGTGAAGGATCGTATTGGACATTTTTGTTTTAATGTCAGTGACAGGGGAACACAGGTAGCTCTAATATAGCTGTGACCCAGATGCTTCTGTTTCTAGCACATATTTATTTTGCAGCAAACATTTACATCCATGATGTTTTACTGTCTTTTGAAAATAATTAGGCAATATCTCATCTGAGGTAGGATGTTTCTAGGGGTTGTGTTCTGAGGGAGGAAAACTAATCTGTTCTCTTTCCACTGCATTCTAGGAACAGTAAGAGGACCTTGTGCATGAATAATTTGTTTCCACACTACAGAGTGGGTAATAAGCAGATTAGTAAAAACAATTCTGCTTCACTTCAATAACAGCCTCCTCCAACTCATTTTTTCTCAACAAACTTATTTTTCCAGCAGAAGAATCCCAGACTTCTTAGAGAACCCAGTGACTTTTTGCACCTTAAATCTGTGAAATCCTCATGTTTTCTTCTGCCGTATCCATAGTTCAAACAAAGATGAGGCAAAGCTAGATGCATTCCTGAAGGAACCCAAGAAATTCCTCTCTTTATTTCTCTGGAATGAAATGAATTCTCTAGACCACCAGTTCTAACCTTCAAAAACCAAACCTGTTTGTGAGATCTCCTTCAAATACTACTGTAGACCCCAGTGTTTATTCATTAAATTTTTAAAATATTTGTTTTATTTGGAATCCATGTATTTGTAATTTTAGTGTTTGTATTAATATAAGGGAGAAATGTTTAAATCTGTCTATGCCATATGTGCCTCTGGCTTATTGCCCAATTAATTGTAGACTCAGGCTAAACTTTGGTTTCTGTCTTTAATTTTTGTCAGAAGAAATATAACTGATCTCAAAACATCTGCTTTTATTGTAGGGACTCGTGCTGCCATCTCCATTCCTCTCTCTTTTCTTGCAATCTGGGTAGAAGTTCTTTAATATGAACATTTCAACCAGCTTCATTCTACCGTGTCCACTATCAGCACATTCAAACTGATCCAGCCAAGGCTGTCATATTAGGCCAGGGATTTTTTAGGAATCTATTATGCTGTGATGCGGCTGGCACCCCTTTGACTCACTGTATCACCCCAGGGTTCTTTTCATTTCAGAAGCCCAAGAGGGCAGAAAAAGAAGTAGGTGAGCAATTAAACCCTCTGAGTCAGGAGCGTCTCCCCTTGCGTTAAGCAATGTTGTAGAACATCGTGTTTAGCAAGCTCCTAGCAGATGAGCCACGTGGCTGCTGAGCACACACGCCTGCTTGCTGCTGTGAGCTCAGGCACCATCATCATGTCTTTTCCATCTCTGGAGCGAATTGTAAGGGCCACTTAATAACCTGTAAATCACAGAGAGTTAAAGGTGCTTCCCCAAAACACTGATGACAGAATGAAAGGTGAGGAGTGTTAGCCACAGGTCACAAAAGTGCAGGAAAGTCTCTCAGTGTGGGTTGTTGAAGAAATGCAGGTCTTTTTTCTTTTGGAAGTCTCCCTAGAATGGGGTCAAGGACTCTGCCCATTCTAGGATGAAAAACTGGGATATTAGACACCTTCAGATATTTATCCCCAGCTTTCATTTTGGGCTCTTAATTAGTTTGTTCATCCATCACAATCTCAAATGCTAAGCAGGGCATTTGAATCTCTCCACAGTGCAAATCAGCGCCGTCTTTTAAAGTTGAGTTTCTTGTTATTCTCACCTGATGTACCTTATTTATCCCACACCCACCCCAATAACATATCGTGCTCACTGTTATCTTTGAGGCAACCCTTGAATTTTACTCAGCCTGGAGCGCTCTTCACATGTCTTGTCCAGAGCCAGTTCGGACTCATTCTTCAGCCGTGCATCAGTCAGTGGGGGCTAGCTTAAACTGTGGTGACAAACAACCTCCAAATTTCAGTGGCTCAAAAATCTTCTTCCTCATTTATTTACATCTCATGACTGGTCAGGTGAGAGGTAGCTCTGTGCTGTGTCATCCTAACACAGGAATCCAGAAGGAAGGAGGGACCGTCAAGATCCCCATTGCTATAGAAAAGAGAAAAAAGCATGCGGAATAGAACGCTGTTTCTTGGAGATTTCTCCTGAAAAAGTCACATGTTATTTCTTCTCACCTCCATCGGCAAAAAAAAAAAAAAAAAAAAAAGTCATGTGGCCATGGGAAAATTTAAGTAGGTGGGATGGAACAGTCAGAATGCATTCATAAAAAATGAACTGAAAATATTTGGAGAACAGCACCAATGACTATCATGAATGCCAACATACATCCCTAACAACCCAGTGCTGTTACCCTCCAAACTTTTTATGTCTTGCAAAGTATTAGAACTTCATATCTGAAGCCATACCACTCAGAGGGAATGCAATACATATTGACATCTCCTTTAGGATGTCCATAGAGAATTCAAGAAAAGAAATAATTTAAAAGTGCTTTTGGGTACAGCTATTTAGCACTAGAGGGTAAGAGTAGAGATAGATTGTAAAGATAATAATAGGGTTAGGCATAGGATTAGGATCTGGGTCAGAGTCAGGGCCGGAAGTATGGTTAGAGGTGGGGTCATGGTCAGGGTCAAGATCAAAGTCAGGGTCAAAGTAAGGGTCAGAATTAAGGACCAGGGTAGGGATCAGGATTTAGCTTCAGGCTCAAAGTCTTGGGACAGGGTTAGGGTTAGGATTAGAACCAGAGCTTTGTTCTCAGGACCCACCCGAGGGTGGGTCACCATGGCTTTGGAGCACCTGGTAGTGTGGCGTGTCCACAGTGAAGACCAGAGTTTCATTGTCCTTAAGACTGACCTGGGAGACGTGGCTGCAGGCCATTGAGGAAGGTGAGGCAAAAGCTTCCTGTCTGCTCCCCGTGTGCTGAGGAGGGAGCTCTGCCATGTGCTTTACTTTCACACGTTATATTCTACGAGTCTTGTTTTACAAAAGCATCCCTTCCTTGAGGCTTCGGCTGCTCATCGCTGCTCATCATCATAGCGTGCCATAACATATAGTAAGATTTGGGTTTGTTTCTGGGAGAGATCTTGGCATAGAGAAAGGAGAAATGCTTAGAGCCACCATCAAGACAGTTGGGATGAAAGCTGGGGATAGGCAGAGGCTGGAGGAAACATGTGCACCCCTTGTAAACACTTATTCATGTTTTAGTTATTCACTTAAAGTGTTAAATTAGTAAAAATAGTATTGAAAAATTGAAAAGTAGGCATATTAAAACTTGTAACACTAAGCTTAGATATATTATTTGTACCTCATCAACATTTTTTATTTTGTTGAGAAAGTGTAAGGTTAATTGGCAGCATATTTCTAATAGTAGATAGAATAATGTCTGTTTTATAAACATTGACATCCTACATTACATGTGTGAACCCTGAAAATCTGAGACAGCTCTCAGATTTTTTAGAAAGTTTATTTTGCCAATCTTGAGGATGTGCGCCCGTGATGCCTCCCCAGGAGGTCCTGACAACATGGGCCCAAGGTGGTCGGGGCACAGCTTGGTTTTATACACTTTAGGGAGACATGAGACATCAATCAATACGTGTAAGATGTACATTGGTTCAGTCCAGAAAGGTGAGAAGGCCAGACAGGGGGCTTCCAGGTCAGAGGTAGGTAAGAGACAAATGGTTTCATTCTTTTGCATTGCTGATTACCCTCTCCAAATGAGGCAATCAGGTATGCATTTATCTCGGTGAGCAGATGGGTGACTTTGGATACAATGGGAGGCGGGTTTGCCCTAAGCAGTTCCCAGCTTGACTTTTCCCTTTAGCTTAGTGATTTTGATTCCCCAAGATTTATTTTCCCTTCATAAGGTTTTCCTATGAGCATTAATTATTCATTGTGTATTTTATCACACAAATAAGGCACAGATTTTTAAAAAATCATCAACTTCCTGGCTACCTATATAGACATAATTACATAGAAGCTCAACTAAATTTGCAAACATTCCAGAGTTTGGGTTTCCAATAATTCTTTGTGATTCTTTAAAAGGTAAAGTATTTTTTTCCCATAAAACATAGCAACATTTAAAATCACCCGTAGAATGTCCTGCCATTTTTGTTTCTGTAGTTTCCTCATTTTCTGCAAAGCCTCGCTGAGGAAATTGACTTTGAATATCCTTTTACACTCTTCTGTTTTAGAAAGCATTGTGGTAAAACATTGAATCATCATGGTCATAAGTTCTGTTCACATTCTTTCTTGCTTTGAATATTTTTTCCCAGTGGCCAATATTTGATTCTGTTGTATCATGGCTAAAAGGTAGGCATGGCAACAAAATAAAGACAGGAAGTCTTTGGAATAAGTGATCCCATCACAATGAATCAATTTGCCATTGGAACATATTTTTACAAAGTCACTCTTTTGAAAATATTTAGCTATGAATTAAAACAGAGTCTGTATGGTTAATATTTTTCCTGGTCTAAGGTGAACAGCATTTTAGAGAATGAACTCAGGACACAACCACAGCAGAAGAAAAACGTGATAATTAAGTTTACACATGTGTGTTACTACTGCAACAGAAAACATGTAAAGAACATTTGATTTATGTATCAGTCTGCACTGTTTAATTTTTTGGGTCATAAATACTCTTATTTAAAAAAACAGGACTAGTTAACAGTGTCAATTACTAGTAATTCATGGTATAAATAATTAAACAAGGAAGTGTTCAAAAAAAACAGTGTTTTAAATAAAGTTTTATTTTACATCATCTTTTTTACTTACACAGAAATTGTCAAAAAAAAGCAGAGATTTCCCATGTAGCTGCAACCTAGTTTCCTCTCTTATTAACATCTCCTATCAGTGTGTCTCACATGGCTTATTAATATCTTACATAATTTGTCACAGTTAATGAACCAATACTGATAGACTATTATTAACTGAAGTTCATATTTCATTTGGATTCCCTTAGTTCTATCTTACTCTGACCCAGGATCCCATCCAGGATCCCGCATGACATGTAGACATCACGTGGGCTCTTCCTGGCTGTGACAGTGTGTCAGGCTTTCCATCTCATGATGACCTTCATAGCACTGAGGAGGATTGGTCAGGAATGTTGTAGAATGTCCCCCATTGTCACTTCATGTTCTCAAGGTGAACTGTCACCTTTGATGTTCACTTGGATCATTTGGCAGAGCTAATGTTTGTCAGGTTTCTCCACTGTGAGGTTATTTCTCCTCCTTGTCCGTACTGCATGTGTTCTTTTGGAGCAAGTCACTATGCAGAGCCTCACTCCGTAAGGAGTTGGCTCCACCTTCTTGACGGCTGAGTGTCTACATCAATTATTTGGAATTCTTTTGCAAAGGAGATTTCTATGCAACTCCATTTGCTTATTCACCTAGGTATACAAATACAGACACCTAGATAATTACTTTAAGCTTTAGTTATTATTCAACACTACAGTATTATGTTGCACAATTCATTCCTGTGTTGGCCATCAGTAGCTGTTTTTATTGGCTCTTATTTTTCTTTGATATGTTTTAATTTTTTTAGTACTTACTTTCTGATACTTCCAGATTATCTTGGCTCCTATATTTACTGTCCCAGTTCTAGTATCAGACATTTCTTCAAAGAGCCTGATTCCTTTCAGAATGGTAGGAAAACTTACATCTGGCTGCTGAATGAGCACATTGTATCTTCTCCCTCATTGGCAATGCTAGGAAGTATATGTGTGTGTCTAACCTACCTATACACACCTAATTATAAAGTTTTCTATGTAGAACTGTGTGTGTCTATATTAAACTAAACATAAGTTTACATTGATGTCTCCACCTCTGATCTACTATCACATGAATCATTCTAGCCTTCTCGCCTTGCTAATTTGTAACCTCCCACTTCAACAGTAAGAAACCTGGTTCCCACCATCTGCGACTTATGTAAGTCATTGTTTTATTCCAGATACAGACACTGTGGTTTTACAATTGTTCACAATTGCTTCTGTTGGAAAGAACTTTATAAAATGGAATCCAATAATGAAGTATAGTTCATGTGCCTTCAGCCTACAGATTCTATTCATTTTCAAAGTTTTTACCTAGATTTGTGTCTCAGTCCATTTTGTGCTTCTGTAACAGAATACCTGAGGCTGCGTAATTTATAAGTAAAACAGTTTCATTTGGTTCACAATACTGGTGGCTGGAATGTCTGAGATTGGGCAGTTGCATCTGGCGGGGCCTCAGTCTTTTTCACCTCATGGTGGAAAGTGGAAGGGGAGCAAGGGGTGCACCAGCGATCACACAGCAGAAGTGAAAGCAAGAGGGAAGCCAAGGAAGCCAGGCTCTTTTTAATTACCTGCTCCTGCAGGAATTATCTATTCCTGTGAGAACAGAACTCACTCACCCCCATGGAGGACATTAATCTATTCATGAGGGATCCATCCCCACGACCCAAACACCGTCCACTAGGCCCCACCGCCCCACACTGACGCAGTGGGAGTCAAATTTCAACATGAGTTTTTGTGGGGACAAACCACATCCAAACCATAGTAATTTGTAGCATAAATTCTTTTTCACATGATGTATTCTGTCCTGGGATACTCCACATCCTGAGTAATTGGATTTAATTTGAATAGAGTTTGCTTTAACCATTTGGCTGTAAAATTCTGCATATTTCGACAAATGCATTGTGGCAGATATCCCACTATTAAAGTATCATATGGAATGCCTCAAACCCCCACCCCATGGAGCCAATGGCTTCCCATCTGTGTAGTTTGCCTTCTCCAGTGTCTCATTAAATGAGGTCACACTGTGTGTATCCTCCTCAGACTGTCTTCTTCCACTTAGCAATGTGCATGCAAGATTCACTCATGTCTTTGTGTGTGTTGATATCTTGTTCCTTTCTATGGCTAAATAGTATTCCATTACATGAATGTAGCACAATTTGGTTATGCATTTTGGGGAGCAGAACCTACCTCTTCTAACTTTGTTCCAGGGTTGGAGACCTTCAAATTAACTGACAATAGATACATTAGTAGGAGAGACAATACTTGGCTTCTTGTTCCCCAAGTATCATTGTGGGACAAAATTCATCAGATGGCAGGATCCAGTTTAAAAAGAGGTAAAAATAGCCCAGAAACAAGAAACAAGACTAGAATCTGATAACTCACAATGGCTATAGTTTTCCTTTAAAAAAATTTTTTTCGAGACAGGGTCTGGCTCTGTCGCCCAGGCTGGAGTGCAAAGGTGCAGTCTCAGCTCACTGCAACCTCTACCTCCTGGGTGCAAACGTTCCTCCCTCCTCAGCCTCCTGATTACCTGGGACTACAGGCACATGCCGTCATGCCCATCTAATTTTTGTATTTTTGGTAGAGATGGGGTTTCACCATGTCGCCCAGGCTGATGTTGAACTCCTGGCCTTCCAAAGGGCTGTAATTATAGGCATGTGCCACCATGCCCGGCTGTGTTATACTTTTCCTTTGAAAGATAAAATTTCTCTCTGTAGTAACCATCATTTTTGATCATAATCAAAGTAAGACTATTCTTGTTTTAAAAATAAGTCTAGTTTTGTTAGATTTTGCTTGATTATTTACGTAAGTGCAGCAAGAACAGGAGATGACCACATAGGTGCTTTCAGGTTTCTTTGCTGGAAGTTTTCATACAGAATCTCAGATTTGACTTATTTTTATTTAGCCTTATTCAGGCTAAAAGCCAAGCCAAGAACATACTATCAAATTTCAGCTGCAGTCCTTATAGCTTTGTGTGAATTCTTCTCTTCTTGAGGCCCCAAAATATCCCTAAATTCCTGGGCCTACCAGGAAATGACCTTGCTTACTAACCTATAAGGCTGTGAACCCTGTAATCTAGGTATCAGGCTGGGTTTTCTCAGAGTGCTGTTGGGAATGAAGTTTTTTATGTCCCCCCCCCCCCCCCAAAAAAAAGAACTAACATGGGAACAAATGATCTCTTAGCAAGGTGAGCTTTATTTTTCTGCACAAAGGGTGCTACTCAATAGCTGTCCAGCTACAAGAGCACACCAAACAAAGGAGACAGAGTTACTTATAACCTGACGTGTCTACCCTACTGCTGTGTCCAGTTTCCATTGGCTGGAATAGGACCTCCCATTTTACACTTTACCCGATTGGCTGTTTGTTTAAAACTTTCTTAATTAGGTAAGGGGAATAGAAGAAAGAAAGAAAAGGAAGTTGCCCAGGGATAGTTAAGGAAGCATCTCCAAATAAGGAATGGCATGCACTATGGGCTGGGGCTTGTCTAGTTCTGTCCAGGCATGCTGGAGCAAGCTAGGACAAGTGATTTGGAACACACACACACACACACACACACACACACACACACACACACATAAAAATAGTGGGTAGTTGTGACTTTATAATCTTTGAGGAAGAACTTTCCTCAAAGTTTTCCACAGTGCTTTGTAAGCATTGTCTCCATAAAAGTCAACCTTACTTCCTTAAAATTGCTGGTCATAACTGATCTTAGGTACACTTCCTAAATATGATGTTCCAGTAAAAACCTTGATAATATAACCAAAATTTCCAATTATGTCCTGTTATAAGGTGAATAGATTGTTATTGGACTTTTGCTAACAACTATATCATCGTGGAAATAAGAGTATTCAGTAAGGATTTCAAAATTCTGGAAAAATCAGGCAAGAAAAAAAGATAAATGCTTCATTTCTGTTTACAAAAGTATAATCTACTAAATTGTTGTAAGTTACAGTTAGAGTAAGAGAAAGAGATTTCTTAAATCCAGAAACTAGAATATTAACCAGCAATGCTCCAAAAAGCTATACAATTATAATCAATTTTCATCAGTTCATTCAGTGCCATGTAATCAATTCCAGTCTTGTGGATCTTGAGTTAGCAGTGTCATGAACCCATCAGTTTCCCAACCGGACTTCTGGAGACCTTAACTGAGTCAAGTGTATGGTCTTAAAGTTATTTAAGCAATATCATCAGAAGCCTATAACCAGAGTACCTGTCATAGTCTTTTCTGTGAGTCTCAGAGGGAGTCCTGTCTTGGAGACGAACATTCTGACCTGTAGTTGATTGCAGGAGCTTTCAGGAAAGTATCAGGGGGAAATAATATCTAAATGACAAAAAGTATGAAATGGCTGTGATGAAAGATCTGATGAGAGTTCATTATACCACAACTGACAAGGATATTCGATTTTTTCTGTGGCAGACAACATTTATTTATTTATTTATTTAGAGACAGAGTCTTGCTCTGTCGCCCAGGCTGGAGTGCAGCGGTGCGATCTGGGCTCACTGCAAGCTCTGTCTCTTGGGTTCACGCCATTCTCCTGCCTCAGCCTCCCGAGTAGCTGGGACTACAGGTGCCTGCCATCACGCCCAGCTAATTTTTTATATTTTTAATAGAGATGGAGATTCACCGGGTTAGCCAGGATGGTCTGGATCTCCTGACCTTGTGATCCACCCGCCTCAGCCTCCTAAAGTGCTGGGATTATAGGCATGAGCCACTGTGCCTGGCACAACATTTAAAGTAATAATTGGAATTATGACTCATTACTCTATAGTGGCACATAGCATGGATAAGGAGGACATTGACAAACTTCCAGGAATTTTATATAATTTCTGAAAACATAACATTTTACCCATACAAATATAACACAGGGAAGGTTAGGTATCTCTTTTTATTTGTATCTTCTGTATGGTTTTCCTTATAAAAAATGCAACCTACTTTACTTGCGAAACATGCCCTACTTTTCTTGCATGCTTTGCATAGAGTTGTTTCTAGTTATTCTATTATTTCTAGTAGTTTTATTTACATATATTGATTATAATTTTAATACTTAGTAATCTTTTATTTTCCAGAGAAAACTAGGAAGTAGACAGTTATAAACTGTCATATATTAGCATTCTATAGTAGGTTAGAAAATGTATGAGTATACCATCTCCCAACATCTAGAGGGATGTGTTTCCTCATAATACAATTCCTCAGTGTGGCAGAAAAAAACATGTTTATTAACGGGCCAAAATATCTTTAGTCTCTCTGTAAAAATAGGAAGCCAAAAGTATATAAACTTGAATTATTTATGTTCAGTAATTAATGTTTTAGTATTGTATCTTATTTATAAATGGTCTAGATATTTAATGCAAATCTTTTACTTAGCTTAACTTTAAGGTTAAAAATTACCAAAAATACTTTGGAAACTATTCTTAGGCAGATTTACTGTAAACAAATTATTTTTGAAATAATGTTTTTCGCTTTTCACAAGATGGCACCAAAAGCGAAGGAAGCTCCTGCTCATCCTAAAGCCGAAGCCAAAGCGAAGGCTTTAAAGGCCAAGAAGGCAGTGTTGAAAGGTGTCCGCAGCCACACGCAAAAAAGAAGATCCGCATGTCACTCACCTTCAGGCGGCCCAAGACACTGCGACTCCGGAGGCAGCCCAGATATCCTCGGAAGAGCACCCCCAGGAGAAACAAGCTTGGCCACTATGCTATCATCAAGTTTCCGCTGGCCACTGAGTCGGCCGTGAAGAAGATAGAAGAAAACAACACGCTTGTGTTCACTGTGGATGTTAAAGCCAACAAGCACCAGATCAGACAGGCTGTGAAGAAGCTCTATGACAGTGATGTGGCCAAGGTCACCACCCTGATTTGTCCTGATAAGGAGAACAAGGCATATGTTCGACTTGCTCCTGATTATGATGCTTTCGATGTTGTAACAAAATTGGGATCACCTAAACTGAGTCCAGCTGGCTAACTCTAAATATATGTGTATCTTTTCAGCATAAAAAAATAATGTTTTTCATAAGAATGACAACTTAATTAGAATCAAATCTATAAGCTTTAAGATTTTACGTTTCTAGTAAGTATAATATTAGCTTATTTGACTAGAACTCAAGCAGAATAGGAATTTATGCTTGTTTTATATTCAATAATGATAATTTTGAAGATATAGTTGTTTTATTACACCAAAAATACTATATTAATCTTATTTAACTAAGTTTTATCCAAATCATGTTAACTTAAGAAACATTTGATCAGTTCCTATATTTCTAGGAGTTTGGTGAATATTTATTTATAAATGCTTATTTTTTTCCAAGCCAAGTTAGAATAGAGCACTTTTAGAGGATTTCATAAATGAATTTTGCAATGCTCTCTGGAGTTAAGAAAATATCACATATACATAACATACATTAATAGATACACAAACACAAATAGAGATTTCATAGCTTTCATCCTGAAATTTCAGCCATGAATCAGGCATAAATATTCTGATGGTTAATTTCAGACATCTACTTGATCGGATTGAGAGACACGCATAGCTGGTCAAACACGATTTCAGCCATGAATCAGGCATAAATATTCTGATGGTTAATTTTAGACATCTACTTGACTGGATTAAGAGACACACATAGCTGGTCAAACATGATTTCTGACATGAATCAGGCATAAATATTCTGACGGTTAATTTTAGACATCTACTTGACTGGATTAAGAGACACACATAGCTGGTCAAACATGATTTCAGCCATGAATCAGCCATAAATATTCTGACGGTTAATTTTAGACATCTACTTGATCGGATTGAGAGACACACATAGCTGGTCAAACACGATTTCAGCCATGAATCAGGCATAAATATTCTGATGGTTAATTTTAGACATCTACTTGAGTGGATTGAGAGACACACATAGCTGGTCAAACACAATTTCAGCCATGAATCAGGCATAAATATTCTGATGGTTAATTTTAGACATCTACTTGAGTGGATTGAGAGACACACATAGCTGGTCAAACAATTTCAGCCATGAATCAGGCATAAATATTCTGACGGTTAATTTTAGACATCTACTTGAGTGGATTGAGAGACACACATAGCTGGTCAAACACGATTTCAGCCATGAATCAGGCATAAATATTCTGACGGTTAATTTTAGACATCAACTTGACTGGATTAAGGGACACACATAGCTGGTCAAACACGATTTCAGCCATGAATCAGGCATAAATATTCTGACGGTTAATCGTAGACGTCTACTTGACTGGATTGAGAGACACACATAGCTGGTCAAACACGATTTCAGCCATGAATCAGGCATAAATATTCTGATGGTTAATCGTAGACATCTACTTAACTGGATTGAGAGACACACATAGCTGGTCAAACACGATTTCAGCCATGAATCAGGCATAAATATTCTGATGGTTAATCGTAGACATCTACTTGACTGGATTGAGAGACACACATAGCTGGTCAAACACGATTTCAGCCATGAATCAGGCATAAATATTCTGATGGTTAATCGTAGACATCTACTTGACTGGATTGAGAGACACACATAGCTGGTCAAACACGATTTCAGCCATGAATCAGGCATAAATATTCTGATGGTTAATCGTAGACATCTACTTGACTGGATTGAGAGACACACATAGCTGGTCAAACACGATTTCAGCCATGAATCAGGCATAAATATTCTGATGGTTAATCGTAGACGTCTACTTGACTGGATTGAGAGACACACACAGCTGGTCAAACACGATTTCTGGGCATATCTATGAGGGTGTTTCTGGAAGACACTGAGATAACCATGACCCAATGTGGATGGGCACTGATATGGTTTGGCTGTGTCCCCACCCAGATCTCATCTTGAATTGTAGTTCCTGTAATACCTACATGTCGTGGGAGGGACCCAATGGGAGGTGACTGAATCATGGTGGTGGTTACCGCCATGCTGTTCTCATGACAGTGAGTGAGTTCTCATGATCTGATGGTTTTATAAGGGGCTTTTCCCCTTTGGGTCAGCACTTCTTGTTGCTGCCATGTGAAGAGGGACAGCTTTGCTTCCCCTTCTGCCATGATTGTGAGGCCCCTGCAGCCATGTGGAACTGTCAGCCCATTAAACCCCTTTGTTCTTTATAAATTGCTCAGACTCAGGTATTTCTTCATAGCTGTATAAAAATGGATGAATACAGGCAGCATCCAATTGGTTGAGAGCCCAGATAGAATAACAAGGAAGAGGAAAGGTGAATTATCTCCTTCTGAAATGGAAACATCCTTCTTCTCCTGCCCTTGACATCAGAACTTCAGGGTCTCAGACCTTTGGCCTCACAATCAGAGTTACACCATTGGCTTCCCCGATTCTGAGTCCTTTGTATCTGGAGTGAGCCATGCTACCAGCTTTCCTGGTTCTCCAACTTGGAGACAGGCTATTGTGGAACTTCTCAGCCTCCATAATTATGTGAACCAGTTCCCCTAATGAATCTTCTGTCATCTGTCTACATATATCCTATTGATTCTGCCTTTCTGGAGACCCCTGACTAATGTGATTACAATAACTACACAATTCACTAGTTTATATAGAAGACTTGGTTTTTGTCTTTGCCCCATTTTATATTTGTATTATAACTATGTATCTGGAAAATGGAACAAGTTTTTTCTTCTTCATATGAGGGCTAAGGCTTTTTTCTCACCAATATTTTTGGAGATTTTAAAGATTTTCTTTTTTTTTGACATAGAATCTTATGGAGGCTGAGAAATAATTTTTTTTCTATTTTATTCTTCAGCCCCAGGTGTTTGCTTTTGCAGATTCTTGAGCACATTGAGAGCCTCCAAGGCATGGAGTGGGGTGCCTGAAGTTTCAGTGATTATAGGGAGTTGAGAGACTCAACTGGGAAAGGAAAGGTCTAAAAGGAGGCAATTTGGAAGATAAAAATTTTCTCAAAGGAGCCATTAAAGTTGTAAATAATTCTTAGTAAAGTCATGCAAACAGGAAAAGAAGTAGAATTAGTTCCATATTGGTGGAACACATAGTCAGCAGAGGTTTGAGAAGGGAGAATTTAGTGAAGTGAGAAGTTCCCATGAAAGCAGCAAGATCAAGATCACAGACACCTTGAAACAAAAAGCCAGGAATAACTTCCAACCCAAGAGGAGAACAGAGAGGCCTCAAAACCAAAGGTAGGATAAGAAACTTGTAGCCCAAGAGTTATCTTCCAGACAAAGAAGCCTGAGATTCCAACGCAGCTTCAGAGAGTGCTCACTCAAAATGTTACTGAAACTGTAGGCTTTTTAATGAGTTAGCCATGCCTGCAAAAGGCATTCCCTAAGGTGGCACAGAAGACGGAGCCCCCATATCCAAAGATAGCCAAGGAGAAAGAAAGACCCCTGTTGCCAGAGCCAGTGGGCAAAGGCAACAGAAAAGGAGACAAGGGTCCTAATGGGATGAGATCCTTTCGGATTTAGGCTTTTATACAAACTCCTGAGAACTGGCAGGTTGACAGCCATAAATGGGGTACCAAACTTTCTACTCATTGGATTACAAGTTCTCAGGCATCCAGAATGATGAACAAAATGACAATTTCTAGGGCTTCTGTGGGAGAGTATGGAAAGGTCTTTTTGAACCTTTTAATGCTGTGAACGGAAGAATGATGAGGTTCATAAATTTGGAAAGGAGACATTTCTTCATTTTTATGCTTATTTTTATTTTTTTTGAGACAGAGTTTCACTCTTGTTGCCCAGGCTGGAGTGCAATGGCGTGATCTTGGTTCACTGCAACCTCCACCTCCTGGGTTCAAGCGATTCTCCTGCCTCAGCCTCCTGATTAGCTGGGATTACAGATGCCCACCACCACACCTGGCTAATTTTTTGCAGTTTTGGTAGAGACAGGATTTCATCATGTTGGCCAGGCTGGTCTGAAACTCCTGACCTCAGGTGATCCACCCACCTCGGCCTCCCAAAGTGCTGGGATTACAGGCATGAGCCACCCACCCAGTGAGAGATTTATTTTCTATAAAGGGTTGTAGCCTGCAGGGTTGTCCTTCTGACAGGCTGGGAAGCATAGCCTCCAGCCAGAAGCCAGAAACAGATGCTTCAAGGAGGAGGTAAAGGAAATAGCAACTTATGCTGAGTGGAATGGCCAAATAGATTTATTTAATAAGCTCTAGGAGGAGTCATGAATATTTATGGAAGGAGAAATGCATGCACGCACAATTGAGTTTCTT
Organism: Homo sapiens; assembly: GCF_000001405.40. Classification (NCBI taxonomy): domain Eukaryota; kingdom Metazoa; phylum Chordata; class Mammalia; order Primates; family Hominidae; genus Homo; species Homo sapiens. The sequence goes on from NC_000022.11 coordinate 50,803,387, forward strand.
GCTTCTTCATGGGTCCCATGTACAAAAAATGGCAGTGTTAGCATGATCCCAGGGTGGAGTTTTCAGCCCTCTGACATTAAAAGGTGAAGCAGAGGACATGAAAACTCGCTCTGTGCATCCTCTGTACGCTGGCCAGAACCTCTCCATCGTGGGTGGTCTCTTATCAGGCAAGAAAGGAGAGGTTGATATCAGTGGTGGAGGCTTTGAAAGGGCTGGTTTCTGTTAAATCCTTAGGGAAGAAAGCCTCATCATGGTTAGCAAAGGAGGGGGTATAACGATGTGTATCTTAACCCCATCATCCCATCCTAGCAAAGCTGAGAACTCAGTTTTGAAAGTTACTCTGGGGTCCCCTCAGCCAAGAGTGGGTCTGTTCAGTCAGTTGGGAGCTTAGAATTTAATTTTCATTTATCAATGCTAATGGGAAAGAGTACGCTGTCTTCATGGCAGCTGAATTTGCAAGAAACTCCTTGGATGGGGTTAATGGCAGCTGTATTTTTCTGGGAGCTGTGCTTTAATTGGATAAAGTAAGTTCTGGTAAGATTTCTTCATCTTCAGTATCTCAAATGTTTTCATTTAAATAATCTTTATAACAACTTTTGATGTCTGAGTGGATTCCCACACAGTCATCTATTGTAAGACTTTCTGATTCCTTTTTTTTCCTTTGGTCATTATGAATAGGGCTTCTGTAAATAACTGCATGGTAGCTTTTGATGGGAAATAACATCAAAGTAGTTGTCAAAATACCTAGGAATGTTATTTTTGGATTGTAAGGTGAGACTTGTTTAGCTTTGGAAAAAAATGACCAACTTGTAATAGGGGAGGAAAAATAATTTTCTGTTTTTGGAATTCTTAGATGGAACGCTCTGTAAAAACTGACAGATTAAAATGAGAAAAAGAGAAAAGTTTAAAAACATGTATATCTTATGGTTACATGGGAGATACTCAGGGAAAAATGAGTAAATCTCCAACAGGTGGCTTTCAATTCAAGCATAAATACTATCTTCAACTTAAAGAAAGAAGATTTGAGGTGCAGTAGTGGGGAGTTAACCAGCAAAAGCACATTAGACAAGGGTAAGGTTCGTTATACAGACTTAAGTCCATGCATTCTCCATTGATAAGACTCTTCAGTGATTTAGTTATCCTTCTCTTCTTGGTGTCGAGAGAGGTAGCTTTTAAATGGTGATTTCCTTTATAGATGTAAATTTTCCTTACACAAGTAACTTCTACTCTATTTTCACAACTTCCTTTGTTAGCATTTTTTTTTTTCAAAATAATTAGCTTGGAATAATTCTTAAGCCAAAGGGACATATTTTGGGGTTGCATATTCTGGTTTCCTACCATTATATTTTGGGGTGGCATAGTTTGGCCTTATACACTGTGTTCCACTGGCAATGAAAAGAGTTCTTGTTTTTCCTCCAGCAATTTGTCATTTGTTAAAGAGCTTAGCAGTTCTAAGAGATATAGACCAGCTGTGCTATCTTTATGTGGTTTTCAGTTCTCTAGTATGTTGAGCATCTTTTTGTAAGTGTACTTGCCATCTGTAGATCTTCTTTGGTGAAGTGTCTGTTCAGATCTGTGTGCATTTTTAATTGGGTTGTTTAACTTATTTAGTTTTAACAATTTTTTATATATTTTGAATACAAATTCTCAGATCTGTATTTTGCAAATATTTTCTTCAATATGTGGCTTGTCTTTTTGTTCTCTTGACAAGGTCTCTTCCAGAGTATAAACTGTAAATATTAAGAAATCCACATTGTCATTTCTTCTGTGTATATCAACCTTCTGTGTCATTTGTTAAAATTCATTACCAAACGCAAAGGCACACAGCTTTTCCTCTATAGTTTCTTCTAGAAATTGTATAGTTTTGCATTTTTAGTGTAAGGATGATTTTGAGTGATTATTTGTGTAAGTTGTAAAGTTTTCATCTACATGCATATCATTTCTTATGGTTTCCAATTAATCATTCCCTCACTATTTTTGGGAAAGACACAGGATAGTGGGCTCTGTTAGAGTAGATAGCTAGCTAGACATGAACAGGAGGGGGAGCTCCTGGAAAAGGGAAAGTCTGTGAAGGCTCACCTGGAGGGACCACCAAAAATGCACATATTAGTAGCATCTCTAGTGCTGGAGTGGATGGGCACTTGTCAATTGTGGTTAGGAGGGAGAAGAGGTACCTACGCAGAAACACCCTAGAACTTCTCTTAAGGTGCCCCAATCGGATGGGCGCGGTGGCTCACGCCTGTAATCCCAGCACTTTGGGAGGCCGAGGCGGGTGGATCATGAGGTCAGGAGATCGAGACCATCCTGGCTAACAAGGTGAAACCCCGTCTCTACTAAAAATACAAAAAATTAGCCGGGCACGGTGGCGGGCGCCTGTAGTCCCAGCTCTTCGGGAGGCTGAGGCAGGAGAATGGCGTGAACCCGGGAAGTGGAGCTTGCATTGAGCCGAGATTGCGCCACTGCAGTCCGCAGTCCGGCCTGGGCGACAGAGCGAGACTCCGTCTCAAAAAAAAAAAAAAAAAAAAGATGCCCCAATCATCATTCACTCTGCAATAAAAATGTCAGAATATTGCTAGCTACATGCTGATAAGAAGGACAAAGGGGACATTTTTAAGAGAAACCTGGCACCATAAGTACAGATTAGGGCAGAGAAAGACATTCAAAAGAGGCAGCTGCAGTAGATACAAACGTGACCGCTGTCAGCCTGCCTGGTATGGCGGGAAGGAGGCTGGTGCCAGAGTGGATTCGGATTGATCACCACACATGTACCTCAATCAACAGTGAGGAGGTCCCACAAGGCTAAGTGGGGCAAGTCGGGGACCTATGGCAGTAGCAGGAAAACGAAAGAAAACAGGCGGAGACTTGAGACAGAGGCAGGAATGTGAAGAAGTCCAAAATAAAAATCCCTGCACAGGACTCTTAGGCTGTTTTCATGCACTATCAGCCTACTCCTCCCTATTTTTGTACTATAAGCTCTTTACTCTGTATTTCTTTTCAATGAAGTTATCTTCCATCTTTGTACTGCCTCTTGGTGAAAAGCTGTCTTCCAAGTTAATAACTGGGACATCAGCTCTCCGCAGTAATAGCTCCTTTTCAGTTTTAATTTACAGAACTGATGGGGATTAATAACTGGCGCTCTGACTTTAAGTGGTGCAGGAGGTGGCCAGTAGGGGACGGCAGCCGTCACACCGGGAGCAAGAGGGCCCTGCGTAGTCCCCATGTGCCTGCATGTGGCGTGCAGCCACGACAATGCCAGCAAGAGGGCCCGGCACTGTGCCCAGCTGCCAGCAGGCGGGTGTGCTGCCACTACAATGTGAGGAAGAGGGCTCTGCAATGTCCCTAGCTGCCAGCAGGCGGCGTGCCACCACTATACTGCGAGCAAGAGAGCCCTGCCGTGCCCCGGCGCTAGCAGGGGGCGGTGGACACCACTGTAAACAAGAGGGCCCTGCAGTTGTCCTAGTCGCCAGTAGGGGGCGCAATGGTAGAGCACCGTGGGCAAGCTGGTCCTGTAGTGCCCGGCTGCACGCAGGGGGCGCCCAAAACGGGCTTTTCAGATTACTCAGGTTCCACTCGTCTCTGCGCCGCCGGGGACGTGTGTCTCTGCGCCGCCGGGGACGTGTGTCTCTGCGCGTGCACCGCGCCACCCCCGCGCTCCCCGCCCGGCGGCGCGCGACTGTGCGACTGCAACACTCCCCGCCACCCTCAACCGAGCGACGTGCGTCTCTGCGCCTGCGCCGCGCCTCACTCCCGCCCGCCCAGCGACCCCTCCCCTCCGGGGAGGTGCCGGCGTGCGTCTATGCCCTGCGCCGCGTCTCCCCAACAGCGCCGCGCCTCTCTGCGCCTGCGCCGGCGCGCCGCGCCTCTCTGCGCCTGCGCCGGCGCGCCGCCTTTGCGAGGGCGGAGTTGCGTTCTCTTTAGCACACACCCGGAGAGCATCGCCAGGGCGGAGCTGCGTTCTTCTCTGCACAGACTTCGGGGGTATTGCGAAGGCGGAGCAGAGTTCTTCTCAGGTCAGACCTGGGCGGGCGGGCTGAGGGCACTGCGAGGGCGGAGCTGTGTTCTGTTCAGCACAGACCTGGGGGGTACCGTAAAGGCGGAGCAGCATTCTTCTCAGCACAGACGTTGGGGGTACTGCATGGCTTTGGGACAACTCGGGGCTGCATGGACGGTGAATAAAATCTTTCCCGGTTGCTGCCCTGAATAATCAAGGTCACAGACCAGTTAGAATGGTTTAGTGTGGAAAGCGGGAAACGAAAAGCCTCTCTGAATCCTGCGCACCGAGATTCTCCCAAGGCAAGGCGAGGGGCTGTATTGCAGGGTTCAACTGCAGCGTCGCAACTCAAATGCAGCATTCCTAATGCACACATGACACCCAAAATATAACAGACATATTACTCATGGAGGGTGAGGGTGAGGGTGAGGGTTAGGGTTCTGGTTTGGGTTAGGGTTCGGGGTTAGGGGTTAGGGTTCTGCTTCGGGTTCTGTTTCGGGGTTAGGGTTAGCGTTAGGGTTAGGGTTTAGGGTTAGGGTTAGGGTTAGGGTTAGGGTTAGGGTTAGGGTTAGGGTTAGGGTTAGGGTTAGGGTTAGGGTTAGGGTTAGGGTTAGGGTTAGGGTTAGGGTTAGGGTTAGGGTTAGGGTTCGGGTTAGGGTTAGGGTTAGGGTTAGGGTTAGGGTTAGGGTTAGGGTTAGGGTTAGGGTTAGGGTTAGGGTTAGGCTTAGGGTTAGGGTTAGGGTTAGGGTTAGGGTTCGGGTTAGGGTGAGGGTGAGGGTGAGGGTGAGGGTGGGTTAGGGTTAGGGTTAGGGTTCGGGTTCGGGTTCGGGTTCGGGTTCGGGTTCGGGTTCGGGTTCGGGTTCGGGTTCGGGTTCGGGTTGGGTTAGGGTTAGGGGTTAGGGGTTAGGGGTTAGGGTTAGGGTTAGGGTTAGGGTTAGGGTTAGGGTTAGGCTTAGGGTTAGGGTAGGCTTAGGCTTAGGGTTAGGGTTAGGGTTAGGTTAGGGTTGGGGTTAGGGTTAGGGTTAGGGTTAGGGTTAGGGTTAGGGTTAGGGTTAGGGTTAGGGTTAGGGTTAGGGTTAGGGTTAGGGTTA